>NC_000009.12:63008371-63202862 GCF_000001405.40 Homo sapiens
GAATTCCTTGTATATTCTTGATATTAATTTCCTGCCAGATGAGTTTATACTTTCTCCCATTCTGTAAGTTGTCTTTTCACTCACTTTCTTATTTCCTTTGCTGTGCAGAAGATTTTTAGCTTGATGTGATCCTATTTGTTTATTTTTTCTTTTGTTGCCTGTGCTTTTGATGCCTTATTCATAAAATATTTTCCCAGAGCAATGTCCTGAAGGATCTCCCCTATGTTTTCTTCTAGTAGCTTTACCATTTTGGGTCTTATATTTGGGTATTTGAGATACTTTGAGTTGATCTTTGTATAGGGTGAGAGGCAGAGGTCTAGTTTCATTCTTCTGCATATGGATATCCAGTTTTTCCAGCACAATTTATTGAAGAGACTATCCTTTCCCCAATGAGTGTTCTTGGCATCTTTGTAAAAAATCCGTTGGCTGAGATATGTGGATTTTCTGGGTTCTTTATTCTATTCCATAGGTCTATGTGTCTGTTTTTATACCAATACCATGATGTTTTGGTTACTACAGTTTTGTAGTGTATTCTGAGGTCTGGTAGCATGATACATCCAGCTTTGTTCTTTTTGCTTAGGATGGCTTTGGCTATTCAGGATACTTTTTGATTCCATAAAATCTCTTTGGATTTTTTTTTAATTTTGTGAAGAATGTTCATAGGTATTTTGATAGAGATTGCATTGAATCTGTAGGTTGCTTTTGAGTAGTACTGTCACTTTAACAACATTCATATTTCTGATCCATGAGTATGAATGTCTTTTCATTTGTTTGTATCCTCTTCAATTTCTTTCATTAGTGTTTTGTAGTTTTCATTTTACCTCCTTAGTTACATTTATGTCTGGGTTTTTTTTTTTGGTAACTATTGTAAATGGGTTTGCCTTCTTAATTTCTTTTTCAGCAAGTTTGTTGTTCATATATAAAAATGCAACCAATCTTCATGTATTAGTTTTGTGTCTTGCAACTTCACTGAATTTGTTTGTTCTAAAAGTTTTCTGGTAGTCTTCAGGTTTTCCTATATATAAGATCATGTCATCTGCAAATAGGAACAATTTGATGTCCTCCTTTCCGATTTGAATGCCCTTTATTTCTTTCTCTTGTCTAATTACTCTTGATAGGACTTCACATTTATATACTTTGAATATTTAAAATGTTTACATAAATGTCAGAATCAACTTTCATTTTTCATAGAAAAAGAAGATCCTACTTGTTTTGTAGTTTTAATATTAATCAATTATTATCTGAGACAAATTATTAACAAACCATCTATTAAAATATTTCACCACAAATAAATTCCATAAGGAAAATATCTACAACTGTTTTTATGAAAGAAAAAAAGGCTTCTCTACAGTTGCTTAGGCCTGGTGCCATGGCACACACCTATAAATCCCAGCGCTGTGGGAGGCCATGGCAAGAGGATCCTTTGAGCCCAGGAGTTTGAGACCAGCATGGACAACAAAGTGAGACCTCATCTCTATAAAAAATAAAAAAGAAATTAGCTGGCCATGGTGGTGCGTGCCTGTGGTCCTAGCTACTCGAGAGGCTGAGGAAGGAGGATCACTTGAGCCAGGGAGGTGGAGGTTTCACTGAACCATATTCACACCACTCCACTCCAGCCTGGGCAACAGAGCTAGACCTTGTCTCAAAAAATTAAGTTAGTTAAATTAAACATAAAGTTGCATTGTATTTAAGAAATTGGGAAAGCAGAAAATGCTTCTGTTTTTCTTTTGAGTTGAACAATGAGAACACATGGACACAGGGAGGGGAACATCACATACCGGGGCTTGTCAGGGGGGTGGGAGGCTAGGGGAGTGATAGCATTAGGAGAAATACCTAATGTAGATGATGGGTTGACGGGTGCAGTAAACCACCATGGCATGTGTATACCTATGTAACAAACCTCCACGTTCTGTACATGTATCTCAGAACTTAAAATGTAATAATAACAATAATAAAAACCTCAAAAAAAGGAAATGCTTCTTCTTAGAACAGATTACATACCCTCATTGCTTTTTATAATAGCCTGTAATAACAGAATATCCACAAGGTGGCAGTAATATATCAGTTTCATCCTCTGAAATTAAAACTTTTGCCTATTCAGTAATGCAATGGATCTTTTGAACTCACTCTAACACGTAGAATACAGCAATTTGACTTAATAATTAGCCTTTAAATTTATAGTCTTGTATTATCACTTTAGTAGTTTGAATTATTTTGTATTTTAATATATTTAAATGAATTAGTCCTATAGAAATTGACTAATTTGACATGTGAAGGTGTTTTTATTCTATTTTCAGAAGTTTAGCTTTAAAAAAATTTCTAAACTTCGATATCTGGTGAGTGTCAATGTTTTTATCTTATTAAAAGCTGACAGACCACACTATATTCAACTGTTTTTTTTTAACAAGGATGCAAAATCAGTTTAAAGGAAGGATATCTTTTTCAACAAATGGTGCTACAGCAATTGGACATTCACAGGTACAAAAACTAAGACTGACCTAAATTTATACTTTATATAAAATTTAGCTCACATAAATCACAGGCTTAAATGTAAAATGTAATATTATAAAACTTAAAGTTGTGTATGGTAGCTCGTGCCTGTAATCCCAGCTACTACTCAAGTGGCTGAGGTGGAAGCATCACTTCAATCCAGCAGTTAGTGGCTGCAGTGAGCAATGATGGCACCACTGCACTACAGCTTGGGCGAAACCTCGTCTCAAAAATAATTAATAAATAAATAAATTCACTAAACTTTTTAAAATAGAAGAAAACTCTTGAGACCTTGGGCTAGGCAAAGAATTTTTAGGCTTGATATTAAAAACAAAATCTACAAAAGGAAAAAGTGATAAAACTGGACTTCATTAGAATAAATAAACACTTTTTTTTTTTTTTTTTTTTTTTTACTTAGAAAGACCCTGTAAAGAGGTTGAAAAAATGAATTACAGACTGGGAGAAATAATTTGCATACCATATATCTGACAAAGAACTTACATCTAGCATATGTAAAAAATTCTCAAAACTCAATAGTAATAAGATACCAATTAGAAAATAGGCATATGTGACCTCTCTGTATTATAACTTAAACCTCATGTGACTACAATTATTTCAAATGAAATAAACAAAACAGTAATGCCTGTTTCTGGCATATAAAATAATCAGAGAACATAGAATTGTACGAAGTTAAATTATTGGGCCATTTACTTAATTTAAATATTTTTAAATGCGTGTACCCATTTTGCTTGAAGGTGTGTGCAAGTATGCTTGTATTTTTTTAACGATAATATGGTCACATGAGCATTAAATTTATTTTTTAAAAGTTTATAGTTACCCCACACAAGTTCTTATTGATTCCCTCATTCTTAACACCTGCATAGTATTTCATTTTATAATTAATGGATTGTAGGTTTATTCTTTTAAAATCACTTGTGTTGTTCTCATTTTTTTTTTCACTAAAAAGTGTTGCAATGCACAAAACTAAAAATATAAGGAGGGTCTTTTCTGGATCTCTGTTGAAAAACTTTGAATAAAAATTACAAGTTCAAATCACATGCAAAATAAACATTTTAATTAATCGGGCTTTTATGCAAGATGTTAGTAGCAGTAGCAGCACAGTTTTATTAAGATCCCTGAATCTCTCACAAAAACTGACTGAGCAACTGGGATAACAAGGTATTAACTACGACAAAACAATGTAACAGGGTGTCATCATGGACGTTTTGTGAGGTTAAACCACAGGGACCCAGGGGAATCACCAATTTTTTTGGAAGAAGGAAAGGAAAGGAAAAAAATGTTTAATGGCCCTGGGAACTGGAAAACCTAGAAATACAAGCGCTAACATCTATGTTCCTAAATTCAGAGATTCTTACTAGGCAAAAAGAACTCAGCAGATTAATCTGAGAACAGCAGCTGAGGCTGGCAGAAGGCTTCCTGGGCCTCAACTCATAGCTGAGAGTGAGGGTGGCAAAAAGCAGTGCTGTGAGTGGTCTGTTTCCTATGAACCCTACAAATTAACCACCCCCAAAACAAAGCCCTGTCCTAAGGAGAAACTGCAGGAAGTCAATTATAAATTGAGTTGGGAAGCACACTGAGGCTCAAGAAAAGGGAAGCTCCAGGTTAAGATGCAAGAGAAGAAGGGAAAAGGCAGTTTTCTGCAAGTTCAAGCACAAATAATTTCTTTACCTTCTAGTTCTGGAAATACCAGGTGCTGTGTATGTAAAGCAGGAATTTTGGTTGAATATTATATAATTTTCTGACCCACTGTTACTAATCCAGTTTCCCCTGTACTCAGATCTTCCATACTACAGACAGACCTGACAGATGCTCAGCAAATAGTAGCTAATATTTTCTAGGAAACTATGTGCTAAACGAGTTTTCTTAAATTTCTACCTCCAGGTCTGTAAGTTGATTTGAAGCATTACCAGTTTCTGGTTCTGCACAGGTTGTTGAGCGCAGGACTTCTCTCCTCCAGTGGAAAGTCCACCTGCTCACAATCAACCATCCTTTCCTGCAGCCTTGGAGACACTACTCAGTGTAGCACGCCTCCCAGTCTAGAATAGGCACACTCATCATCAGTCTCTCTCATTTTCTGTCTTATCTCCATTCCATCTACATACAGTTTTTGTTTTCGCCAATGTTTTTAAATAAACAATTGTACAAGCACGACGACAACAGAAACCTTCCTTCCCCCAGTGTTGTAGTGAGCAAGGAATATATTTAACTTCAAATAAAAGACAAGAACAAATGCTGGATAAAGCTGACAGAAAGAAATGCAACTGTAGGTGCTCTGGCAATATAGAAATGATACAACTAAGAAAAATGGAAGAAAAGGAAAGAGAAAGTATTCCTCAGAATGATTTTACTGACTGCTCATCTGTAATGCCTGGGAGTCAAAGGATATTGTTTATAGAAATGTAAGCATACTTAATGGCACCAGGGGAAACAAAGTTAATATGATTAAATCAAATTGTGGGATGAAAAATCACATAGGGAGGACAAGAAAGAGAATACAGCTAATACCATTGTTCTTAGTTTAGAGACATTAGCTACTGTCTAAAGAAAGAGATGATTTTATGAAATTACATAAGGTAGCCATCAGAATAAAAGTTTAACTCTTCCAAATATCACAACATCAAAACAAAAGCAATAAAACAAGACAGCAAAAGACAGATATGTGCATATAAATCATAGCATAATATACTGTAATCAAAATATAACCAAACACAATTTATCATTAAAAGTAAGTGGGCTTGACTCTTATTAGAGGAAAAAATATTGTCAGATTAAATCAAAAAGCAAATCTCAATTCTATGCTGGATATAAGATAAAGTGTTACAGAAAGTTTAGAAATAAAAGTATAGGCAATGAATAAAAGGATCTTCTCTTCATGCATTAGGAGTATAAAACAGTAAGTAAACACATCATATGTTTTCTGTTTTTACACTTAAATGGCTGGAGATGTTACACCACTAGTATGAATTTACTTCAGATATATAAAGGATACACTTTTATGTGGTTAGAAACAGCAATGATAATAGTTAAGGTGAAAATAACATCTGCATTGAGGCTAGGAAGAAAGAGCCATTGTTGGGTACATAGTGATCGTATTACCATGGAGCAATCTGTTCCCAACTGAAATGTCCTTGACCTTCTACTGAAATCATGAAAGATTCTGCAAAAGTAGTGTTTACTTCCCACAAATCAGCCATTTGTGGGAATGGCTGCTATTGTTGTCCACACGGAATGAGCATCAGACCTATATTTAGCTGTTGTTTCATTAAGAGTCGTATTTGGCCCTTTCCAGAGGCTGTTATTTCAATTATATTTTGGAGAATTAGTCTATTTCCAGACAAATAATTTTTCCAGAACTTTGATCCATATGAAATGTCCCTTTGGTAGGGATCCAGGGATTGAGTTTATTTTTAATTACTGTAGCATCCTGGTCAGGTTGAGAAACAGATTACCTTTATATTTCCCTGGCATGTAAGCAGGGCTAGATTTAGCGTGAGAATGCTTGAAAGTTTATAGTTTTTTAGAAATTTTATTTACTGTGTGTCTCTTTATCAAAATAAAATTAATGCTGAAAAGCTATATTAAATGAATTATTTTGAGATGGTCTCTTCCCCCTTCTTCCAGTGAGAGGATATCCACAGATATGTCAGGAGCTTGCTTTACCTAGAAATGTGTTGAGGGCCACAGGTTTGGGTTCACCTAGGAATGTTTAGGGACACCTCCCCAAGTTGTTGTTGAAGAGTGGGGTAAATGTAAGATAGAATTAGGCTCACGGAGGCCAGATGAGAGCATCATATCACCCCAGAAACATAGCATATACCTAGGAGATCTGTTCTCAGTATCAAAGTCTTAAGCACTGTAAGATTGCCTATAGACCAAGACAACAACTATATATATATATATAGTTAATAAAATCAGTTAATATATAAACATATATTTATTAACTTATTTTTATTTTTATCTTCAGACAGCATCTTGCTCTGTCACCTAGGCTGGAGTGCAGTAGTGCAATTAAGGCTCACTGCAGCCTTGACCTCTGGGGCTGAAGCTATCCTCCTGCCTCAGTCTCCTAAAGTGCTAGGATGAGAGGTGTGAGTCACCTTGCCAGGCCCAGGGCAATAACTATGCAATGTTTATATAATTTGGAGCAAAAAATATTTGAAATATGTGTGCATTGCTTTTTAACCTTTTCTACTGATTTACTTTATTAAATACTGAATAGAAACAATATATTTATAAAATATTTATTTTATATATATAATAAGCACATAATGAACACCTGTGTCTCCAGTCTTGGTTTAAGAAATTAAGCCAAAAGTAATCATAAGTGCTTATGATTACTTTTGAAGTCACCTGTACAACTTTTGCTGACTACATCCCCTTCTTCAACACTCTAACGATGGCCACTGTGAGCACTGTGTATATTGAATTGTGTTGTATTTTAATACCGTGTGCACTACTTTGTTTTCCTAGCTGTATGCTATTGCATTTAGTGAGCATAATGAATTATATCAGTATAATTCACTTTTGTCATTTCATTGTTTCAGCTCTTCTGTACTAATTATTGCCAATATATTTCTACTGGCATAAAAACAGACACATAGGACAGTGGAACAGAATAGAGATCGCAGACAAATCTACACATTTACAAACAATTCATCTCTGACAAAGGCATCAAGAACATACACTGGGAAAACAACAGTCTTTTCAATAAATGATCCTGGGAAAACTGAATAACCATATGCAGAAGGATAAAATTAAACCCATCTCACCATACAAAAAAATCAAATCAAATAAAAATGGATTAAAGACTTGAATCTGAGACCTGAAACTATGAAGCTAGTAAAAAAAAAAAAAAAAATAGGAAAGGTCGGGCGCGGTGGCTCTTGTCTGTAATCTGAGCACTTTGGGTGGCCAAGGCGGGCGGATCACAAGGTCAGGAGATCGAGACCACCCTGGCTAACACGGTGAATCTCCGTCTCTACTAAAAATACAAAAAACAAAAAAAAAATTAGCGGGGCATGATGGTGGGCGCCTGTAGTCCCAGCTACTCGGGAGGCTGAGGCAGGAGAATGGCGTGAAAAAAAAAAAAAAGAAAGAAAGAAAGCATAGGAGAAATGCTCCAGGACATTAGTCTGGGCAAAGATTTTTTTGCGTAAGACCTCGGAAGCACAGGCAGCAAAAGCAAAAATAGACAATGGGATTATATCAAACTAAAAAGCCTCAAGCAAAGGAAACAATCAACAAAGTGAAGAGCCAAGCACAGAATGGGACAAAATATTTTCAAACTATCTATCTGACAAAGGATTAACAAGTAGAATATATAAGGAGCTCAAACAACTCAATAATAAACAAACAAAAAATCTGATTGAAAAATGGGCTACTGAAGAGGCTGAGGTAGGAGGATTTCTTTTTTTTTTTTTTTTTTTTTTTTTTTTTTTTTTTTTTAATGAGATGGAGTCTCGCTGTCGCCCAGGTTGGAGTGCAGTGGCGTGATCTCGGCTCACTGCAGGCTCTGCTCCCCCGGGGTTCACGCCATTCTCCTGCCTCAGCCTCCTGAGTAGCTGGGACTACAGGCGCCCGGCACCAATCCCGGCTGATTTTTTGTATTTTTAGTAGAGATGGGGTTTCACCATGTTAGCCAGGATGGTCTCGATCTCCTGACCTCGTGATCCGCCCACCTCTGCCTCCCAAATTGCTGGGAATACAGGCGTGAGCCACCGCGCCCGGTCAGGAGGATTTCTTAATCCCAGGAGTTTGAGGTTACAGTGAGCTATGATTATGCTACTGCCCTTTAGCTTGGGTGACAAAGCAAGACCTTACTTCTCAAAAAAAATAGTTAAAAATATATAAATAAATACAATTTAAAAATGGGCTAAAGATCTGAACAGATATTTTCTCAAAAGAAGACAAACAAATGGCCAATAGGAAGACAAAAAATATTCAGTATCACTAATCGTCAAAGAAATGCAAATCAAAATCACAATGCAATATCATCTCACCTTGGTTGAAATGACTTGTTTCAAAAAGACAGGCAATAACAGATGCTGGCAAGGATATGGAGAAAGGGAAATACTAGTACACTGTTGGTGGGAATCCACATTAATAAAGCCACTATGGAGAATAGTATGGAGGTTCCTCAAAAAAGTAAAAATAGAACTACCATGTGGTCCAGCAATTTCTTTACTGGATGTATATCCAAAATAAAGGAAATTAATGTATCAAAGACATATCTACATGCCGATGTGTACTGCAGCACTATTCACAATAGACAAAATATGGAATCAACGTAAGTGCTCATCAACAAATGAATAGATTTTAAAAGTCATATATATACATAATGCAATACTACTCAGAAACAAAGAAGAATGAAATTCTGTCATTCACAGCAACATAGGTGGCACTGGCCATTTGGTTTAACGTAATGAACATAGGCCATTATGTTAAGTGGAATGAGCCAAGCACAGAAAGGCAAATACCACATGTTGTCACTCATATGTGGGCAGTAAAAAAGTGGATCTCATGAAGATAGAAAGTAAATTGGTGGTTGCTAGAGGCCAGCAAGGGGAGTGGGAAGAGGAGATTAAGAGAAGAAAATATAAATGTATTTATCACCACTAAACTGTCCTCTAAAAATGTACAGATGGTAAATTATATATATATATTTTTTAACTCAATAAAAAGTTAAAAAAATTCTGCTGTGTGTTTATAGGGCACATGTACAAGACTTTCTCTAGGGTTGTATCAGTTTTCTATTCCTGCTGTAACAATTTACCACAAATTCAGTGGCTTAAAAGAACACATTTTTGTAAGATTTGAGTCAGTTTTAAAAAACACACACAGACTTATTGTCTTAGAATTGTTTTGGTTGGAAATCTGGCATGGCTCTCACTGAACTAACATCAAGATGTTGGCAGGCTGCATTTCTTTCTGAAGGCTCTAAAAGAGCATCTGGGTTGTTGGCAGAATTCAGTTCCTTGTGGTTGTAGATCCTCAGTTTCTTCCTGGTTGTAAACTTTGGGTCATTCCCAGCTTCTAAAGGTCACTGGCTTTTCTTGGCTTGTGGCCCCCTACCACTGTTTTAAAAGCCAGTAATAGCAGGCCACATCTTTCTCATACTGCCATCTGTCTGAATCTCAGCATCCAGAAAATATTCTCTGCTCTCAAGGAATTATGAGATTAGACTGGCTCACCAAGGTAATTCAAGGTAATTTCCCCATTTCAATGCCCTTAATGGTAATCACATCTGCCAAGTCTCTTTGAACATGCTAACTTACGTTAGCATGTTCACCTTATCTGAAGACTGGGATGTGGCTGTCTTTGGTGGGGGGCAATTATTCTGCCTAACCCAAAGATACACAACTTGCAGATATACAACTAGTTCATGGAGATGAAACATTTTCAAATCTACAAGAAAATGTTTTCTAAAATGAGCATTGCATATTAGACTTTCACGAGCACTGTATCAGACTTATATTTACTTCATAATATTGCCAATACTGATATCAGATATTTAATTTTCTAGCCAGTTCAGGATAATGTGAATTGTGAATAATATATTTGTTCATCCAGTCAACAAACATTTTTTATCAGATACCACCGATATGCTGGACAGTGTCATGGATCCTAAAAATATAGCTGTTATTATTATTTTTTTAAACAAAATCCCCACTGTGATAAAGCTTTTATTCTTTGGGACAGGCAGACAGTAATCCAGATAAATAAATGCAAGGGCAAATTGGGGGAAAAATTGGAATGGAGAGCTCAGAATCTGGCCCCAGAGAAGGGCAGAGGGAAAGGGGACCCAGTTCAGAATCTCGGTGCGTCCACACCAAACAATTCCATGAGGGCTGAAGAGACAGAGCTGAAAGGCTTGTCTGACATCACAAAAGACAGAAAAGTGAGCCCCATTTTCATCTCTATCCTGACAATGTTCCTGGCTTGATTTCCTCCTTCCAGCAGACACAAGAATCAGGGAGCGCACCCTGATGGTAACATTTTTTTCAGGGGCCTATTTTGGGGATCCTGGTGAGAACCTGAGTCCGTCACTGTCCACGGCAGCCCAGCATGGTCCCCAGTGCGTGGTCCAAGGCCAAGATTCTCTACCTCCATCCTGGAGGCAGAAGAAATGTCTGGGGGAAAATGAGAGGTTTTAGGTGGTTGGCACTGGGTGAGACCAAGGAGAAATTTTAAAGCTGTGTGTCCTGGGGCCGGGGGTGGTGGCTCACGCCTGTAATCCCAGCACTTTGAGAGGCCGAGGCGGGCAGATCACGAGGTCAGGACATTGAGACCATCCTGGCTAACGGTGAAACCCCGTCTCTACTAAAAATACAAAAAATTAGCCGGGCTTGGTAGCGGGCGCCTGTAGTCCCAGCTATTCGGGAGACTGAGGCAGGAGAATGGCGTGAACCGGGAGGCGCAGCTTGCAGTGAACTAAGATCGCGCCACTGCACTCCAGCCTGGGTGACAGAAAGAGACTCCTTCTCAAAAAAATAAAAATAAAATAAAAATAAAAAATAGAAAAAGCTGTGTGTCCTTTGTTTCTTCATATTTTGCAGATTTTTGATGTCAAAATATTTTCATAGTCAAAAGAGTGTTAATAAAGAATGACTTCTCTGTTATAAAAACCCTAATAGTGAATGTATTTACCAAGAAATTAGATTCTATCTTTGGTTTTTTGTTTTTTGCCCCGTAGTTTTTAAAAAAATAGTTTTATTGTGTGGATATTCTACAGTTAGTGTATCTATTCACCTCTTGATGGACATTTGGTTTGCTTCCAGTTGTTTTTGCTATTTCAAATAAAGTTGCTACGAATGTTTGTCCAATCGTTTGGACATACACTTTCATTTGTCTTGGGCAAATAAGCAGGATTTGAATGACTAGGTGGTGTGATATGTTTAACTTTTTTTTTTTTTTTTTTTTTTTTTTGAGACGGAGTCTCGCTCTGTCGCCCAGGCTGGAGTGCAGTGGTGCATCGCGGCTCACTGCAAGCTCCACCTCCCGGGTTCACGCCATTCTCCTGCCTCAGCTTCTGGAGTAGCTGGGATTACAGGTGCTCGCCACCACGCCCGGCTAATTTTTTGTATGTTTAGTAGATATGGGGTTTCGCCGTGTTAGCTAGGATGGTCTCGATTTCCTGACCTCGTGATCCGCCCGCCTTGGCCTCCCAAAGTGCTGGGATTACAGGCGTGAGCCACCGCTCCCAGCCAGTTTAACTTTTAAAGAAACTGACAAAGTGGCTGTATTTCCAGCAGCAGTATATGAGCATTCCTGTTCCTTTGTGTTCTCACCAATGTTTAGTATGGTCAGTCTTTTAAATTTTAGCTATTCTAATAGGCAAGTAACAGTATCTCATTGTGGTTTTAATTTACATTTCCCTAATGATGAATGATGTGCTTATGTATCGTCCATCTGTATTCTATGGTGAAATGTCTGTTCAGATCTCTACATTTGTGTTAGACTATTTGTTTTCCTATTATTGAGTCCTGAGAGTTCTTTGCATATTTTGGATAACAAATGTATCTTCACCAGATATAGCTTTTGTAAATTTTTACTCCCAGTCTGTGATTTGTCTTTTTATTCTCTCGATAGTGTTTTTCTTTTTTCTTTTTTTTTTTTTTTGACAGAGTCTGGCTCTGTCACCCAGGCTGGATTTCGGTGGCACGATCTCGGCTCACTGCAAGCTCCGCCTCCCGGGTTCACGCCATTCTCCTGCCTCAGCCTCTACGAGTGGCTGGGACTACAGGCGCCCGCCACTACGCCCCGCTAATTTTTTGTATTTTTGGTAGAGAGGGGTTTCATCGTGGTCTAGATCGCCTGACCTCGTGATCCACCCACCTCGGCCTCCCAAAGTGCTGGGATTACAAGCGTTAGCCACCGCACCTGGCCTCTGGACAGTGTTTTTCACAGGTCAGATTAATTTTTATATAAATCATTTATTTTATTTTTATTATGTAAAATTTTATAATTTTTAATTTTATTTTTAATTTCCTTTTTAAAAGTTAAATAAAATTTTAAGTGTAATGATGCAAAATTTTGTTTAAAAGTAAATGTATATAAAAATGTTGATATAGACTAAAAAATTGAATAAGTAAGAAGGTAGTTAGTTGTCACAGTAGGAGTGAAGTGAAAAGCTTCCCCTTTCACCCTCTGAAGATTACCGGAAATGAACTGACCATACACAGATTAATAAAAGAAAGGGTATACAAACTTACATAACCTGCAAAAACATGAGAGCTATACACAAAGTATAAGACTTGAAGACGGCTCAGATCTTAAACGCTCTCCTCATAGGCAATAGATATATAGACCCAGGATGCAGACATTATTTTGTAAATAATTTCCTTTGGAAGCTGGATGGGACAGACAAATTACAGGAAGGTGAGAGATGGAACTGCACAGGAAAAAAGTTTGTCTTTGTCACTTTAATCTTATCATTACTAGAGAATATTTATGAATATTTTAGAATAATATATTTTTAAGCCCAAATCTCACCAAATGTTTTTTCTAAAACAAATACTTTTTGTTGTTGTTTGTTTTTGTTACTGTGTCTCACTCTGTCACCCAGGTATGGAGTGCAGTGGTGCAACCATGGCTCACTGCAGCCTTCACCTCCTGGGCTCAAGTGATTCTCCTACCTCAGCCTTCCAAGTAGCTGGGCTACAGGCATGCACCCTCATGCCCTGGTAATTAAAGAAAAAAAAATTTCGTTAGAGACCAAGTCTCATTATGTCACCCTGGCTAGTCTTGAACTCCTGGAATCAACTGATCCTCATGCCTTGGCTTCCCAAATTATTGGGATTATAGGTGTGAGCCACAGTGACTGACCACATATTTCTATACTTCACTGAGGAAAGGAAGGTGCTAGGAAAATTGGTTAAGAACTATTTTTTAAAAAGCTATTAGTAGTGTTTTATTTTATTTTTTAATGATTGATTTTTGAGATTGGGATCTCACTATGTTGCCCAGGCTGGTTTCACATTCCCAAGTTTAAGCAATACCCCTGCCTCAGTCTCCCAAGTAGCTGGGATGACAGGTGTGTGTCACCATACCCAGCTCCATTAGTAGCGTTTTTAACAATTGTGGGCCACTGAGTAAGAATAATTTTTTTTAAATTAAAGGTTATTTTTTAAAAAGCACATTTGTAGAAAATTACTAGCATAATCTGCCTAAAATAAATATACATATTGAAAAAATCTTTGCTCCGAACAAAAAGAAATATATTCACCACACATACATATACACACACACACATGCACACACGCACACGCACACGCACACACACACACACACACACACACACACATTATGGAAGATTTCAAGACCAGGCAATAATTTCCACTCAATCCAAAAACAATGCAATCCCAGAGCTGAATATTTAGGTGAAAATATATCAGGAATGGGAGGCATTCAGGTTTAATTTTCATGTTTTGGTAGAGTTAGGATGTGAGTTTTCATTTAAAAATATTCTTTATTTTTTTTGCTACTATTGTGGTTTCTGTATTGTTACTATACAATCTGTAAACTAAATAGTAAAGGAGAGAAAAGTGATTTTCAAAGAAGCTGGCTTGGGAACAGGTACTATTCTGGGAAGATGAAAGGTTTCACTTAATGACTGGTACCTGTGCCACTCTGGTTATTTTAACTGTTAACCTTTTAGCAAGAGGTTTTTCTTTTAAAAGACATCCTTTAATATTTGGGAAGCTAGTGCAATAGTACACATTGAGGCCCACATACCACATGCCAAATATTTAAAAGGCACATTTCTAGCTAACCACTGTACATACATATATTTTTTCTTATTTTCTGATTTTAGTTTTTTTCCTTGTCAACAATTTATGTCCACACATATCTTCTATCATCCCACTTTGACAAGTAATATTATACCTTCAAAATGATGTGGAAGACTAGATTGGAATTTAGAACCGTAGAACCTTGTAATTGTACAGGCAAGTTTCTTCCTGGGAAAAAATAAAACAGGAAGAAAAGGCTGGGCAGCCTCTGGTTCAGGAAGGAAATTCAGGAGTCCCTTATAGCAGCATCTCTAGTACTTGGGAACCGAACAGACTTCTCGGCCTGTGAGGCTGGAATGGGCCCTTCTGGAGAACACGACAGAGAAGTTATCTACTGCCTTTGCCCCCAGGGCCCAGGCAACACTTTTACCCTCCATTGTTTCCGAAGTTAAGGGGAGGAGACAATGTTTTGTTTAGTGACCTCGACAGAAAAAGTGTCCTCCTGCAACCACTCATTTGTTACTTTCCTTCTTCCTGAATTGCCTGGACCCACTCCTCCTCCATTTGACTGGCTCTGTGCACTGATCTTATAGTCAGGAGATTTTTGGGAATTGTGGCTTCTAAAAATGTACACCCGACTCTACCCATAGCTGGCCCTGTGAACCTACACACCTGCTCCACTGTGTATCCTTCTCAAAGAGACACTCTTCCTGCTGAGTCTCTGCCCTCTGCTCCTAGATCCAAATGGCATCTCCTACCCTATCCCTGTATGGTTTAACCTAGGGAAACTCTGGTTTCCCAGAGGAGTCAGGTAAGGAGACAGTGGCTGAGCTTCTTACAGACTTAAAGGAGACATCCTGGAATTTAGGAGTCAGTCCTTCCTTTCTGTAATCCCTGGCAGCTCCTGCTGCTGCTCAAAGTTTAGCTTTGTCTCTCATCCAGCTCAGACTTTTGCTGGTCCTGATGGCCTCTGCTTAGCTGTATTAGTACGCTCTTGCATTCCTATAAAGAAATACATGAGAAATACCTTTAGTTGGCTCACAGTTCCATAGGCTATACAGGAAGCATGGTGGTTTCTGCTTCCGGAGAGGCCTCAGGAAACTTTTACTCAAGGTGCAGGGCAAAAAAAAAAAAAAAAAACAAAAACAAAAAAAACTACCAGCACTGCACTGTGAGGCCCTGATCCCTGAGCTAACTTCATATTATTACCTCTACAGCAAGTGTCCATGAGAACATAGATATATTTCTTATGTGAGTACACAATTTACAGAAGAGGAACTACCCTCCCAAACCAAAACGTCATAATTTTAATTTACCAGCAAACCTAGGTTGCTTCTGTGAAATGATCTCATTTGCTGAGTTTTAAAATTGACTAAATTTCCCAATTTCCAAATGAAAATATTTAGTTATCTTGTCTTGCTATGTGTTTTTGGTTAATATGATGATTAATTTTTGGTCTATTACTTAATATATTCCATGATTGTTGATATGGATTATAAGGACTCACAAAATAGTTTTCAGATGTCTTTAATTTTTTTACTTAGTGTAGATCCTATAAATGGATTAGAAGTATTCTATTAACTCCCATGTATTCAGAAATCGAATTGGAGTGGTAAATTCTGTTTGAAGTAACAAGGGATATCAAAGGAAAAAAATAATTTTGTGACTATGTCTTCTATACGTAAATTTTTCAGGCATCTTTATCAATGGCTTACACTAAAGACATTTTCTGGATCATGGGTGACACACAGAAGACCTGTGGATAAGTGGCATTGTGTACACTACTGCATTTTATCATCTGGTTCATTTTTCAACTTTTATTTCTCTTAAGGATGTTTTATTAACTGGTGCATCACCAGGTTACCAGTCTCTGGAACACTAAACTTACCAGAAAATACTTGTTGATTGAATTAACAAGACAACAACATTAGAAAACAGTGGTGGCTTGTTTTTGTCCATTGCAGTATCTTGGAGAGTAAAGCCTAACTCTTTAATTTTGGCCAAAGATATAAAGAAATACCTGAGAAACACCTTTAGTTGGCTCATGGTTCCGTAGGCTATACAGGAAGCATGGTGGTTTCTGCTTCTGGGGAGTCCTCCAACACTTACTGGCAGGGTAATTTTGAAGAAGTCATAATAAGACGGTTGTTACAATTAAATGAAATAATCAAAGTGGAAGAGCTTAGTTAGCTGTCTTCCCTAAATGAATCACTGGCAAGTAAGAGTGTGATTGATTTTCCTACCAGTCAGGACTCACCCCTTGAAGCTATAGGAGGGTAAACCTCTGAAGACCATACAATTTAGGGAACACTAACACCTCAAAAAACTCTGTAAACTTCCTTCCTTCCTTTTCTTCCTTCCTTCCTTCCTCCTTCCCTCCCTCTCTCTCTCTCTTTTTCTTTCTTTGTTCATTTCTGAGACAGAGTCTTGCTCTGTCATTCAGGCTAGAGTGTAGTGGCTGGATTATGGCTCACTGCCGCCTTGACCTCCTAGGCTCAAGCAATCCTCTCACCTCAGCCTCCCTAGTAGCTGGGACTATTGGCATGCTCAGCTAATTTTTTTCTCCTTTTCTTTTTGTAGAGACAGGGTCTCATCATGTTGCCCAGGCTGGTCTTGGACTCCTTGGATCAAGCAATCCTGCTGCCTCAGCCTCCCAAAGTGCTGGATTACAAGCATGAGCCACTGTGCCCAGCCTTAAGTTTTTTTCATACAGGAGGAAAGAATTTGGAAAGTAGGTGTGTGTGTGTGTGTGTGTGTGTGTGTGTGTGTGTGTGTGTGTGTTGGTTAGGGAGCCAACACATTTTTCTGCAAAGCTTGAATTCTATGCCTCAGTTTTTCATTTTTGTTATGTGCAAAATAAAATCGTATCCTGCTATAGATTTAAACCTGTGAGCGAATCCTACTCAAAACCTGATTCAAACTTTGTGTAGATCTTTGCCTCTCTGTGGCATAAGAATAAATTCTTCTGGTTTTCTTCCCTCAGAAAAATGGACTTAGACTTCCCACAAGCCTTCCAGAAAGAACTCACCTGCCTCATCTGCCTGAATTACCTCATAGACCCCATCACTATAGGCTGCGGGCACAGTTTCTGTAGGCCCTGCCTCTGCCTTTGCTGGGAAGAAGCACACACTCCTGCCCTGCATGCAGGGAATTGTCACAGCAGGAAGATTTCAACCAATATTCTTCTGAAGAATCTAGTGTCCATTGCCACAAAAGCCAGTCTCTGGCAATTCCTGAGCTCTAATGAACAAATGTGCGGGATCCACAGGGAGACAAAGATGTTCTGTGATGTGGGCAAGAGCCTGCTCTGTTTTCTGTGTTCTAACTCTCAGGAACACTGGGGCACAGAAACACTGGCTCACTGAAGGGGCAGCTAAGGAACACTGTGTAAGTGATGACTCAGAGCACTTTGAAAGCTGGAGGGCAGCACAGGTAAAGAGATTAGGAGGAAGATGAAGAGCACGAGGATTAATCTATTCTTTACCGAGTGTCATGTACTGCCTAGGTATCAGTGATATAACTATTATCCTGCTATCAAATCTACTGATAAGTGGCTCATTTAACTTATAGGCACTCATCACAATGCAAGAAATCCTCTGACTGCTCCTACCATCATGGCCCCTAGCCATGATATGACTTGTCTCCACACTAGCAGAAACTAATCGAGTCCCTATATTAGGGATAAGTGGCATTTTTATATATATATATATATATATATATATATATATATAATTTTTATATATAAATTTTATATGATATATAAAACATAAATATTTATACAATATATATTATATACATATATACATACATATATATATATATATCACAATGCCAAAAATGTTTTGTCTTCGAAATAATCACAGTGCATTTGGAGAGACAAATGCATCTACAACCAGGCGACAACACTGAAAATAAAATTGTAGCAGTTTGAATAGGGGATTAAATGAGTTAATTTTTTCCTGGGGTTCAAAAAAAGAAACAGCAGCAAAAAATGGTACTTAAGATTGAAAGTTGGCCGGGTGCAGCTACTCATGCCTGTAATCTCAACACTTTGGGAGGCCAAGGTGGGCAGATAACCTGAGGTCAGGATTTCGAGACCAGCCTGGCCAACACGGCGAAACAACACCATTACTAAAAATACAAAAATTAGCTGGGCATGGTGGCAGGTGCCTGTAATCCCAGCTACTCGGGAGGCTGAGGCAGGAGAATCTCTTGAACCCAGGAGGCAGAGGTTGCAGTGAGCCAAGATCACGCCATTGCACTGCAGCCTGGGTGACAAAAGCAAAACTCCATCTCAAAAAAAAAAAAAAAAAGAAAGTTCTGGGTTATGACACAGAACAAATGCAACATGAATATGTCATGGTTATGAACATGTAGACTACTCAAGATTGTGTATTTTTAAAATAATAGAATACTAGGTTAAAAAATGAGCATTACAAAATGAAAAATAAGCCACAAATTAGCAGAAGATAATTGTAACACATAAAAACAAAGGATTAAATACAATGGTAATGTAATGATAGCTATTCTTACAAAGTTGTTTCTATGTCTCAGGTACTATGCTGAACAACATACGTGCATCTTGAATGCGTGAAGAATTCCTATATAAGAAAAACACAAACAACAACATTTAAAATAAGCAAAAAACCCGAATAGGAATTTCACAGAAGAGAAAACATAAATGGCCCATAAACATAATAAAAGATACTCAACTACAATTCTAATCAGGGAAATAAATATTAAAACCCCAAAGAGATACCACTTCATACTCTAGGAAAAACCTAAAAGGCTGTGAATATCTAGTTTCATTGAGGAAGAACAATGGGAAGACTATTCACTGCTGGTGAGGGTGTAGATTGGTACAACTGCCTTGGAGAACAGTATGATGCCACTCAATAGAGCTGAACACACACATGCCCAATGACCAAGCAATTCCACTCCAGGTACATACTGGAAAAATACTCCTGCACAAGTAGAATAGGAGACACTGCATAACAAAGTTCACTACAACATGAGGCTGAGGTGGGAAGATGGCTTGAGACCAGGAGTTCGAGGCTGCACCAGTAGCTGGGACTATAAGCATGTGTCACCGTGCCTGGCTAATTTTTTGCTGTTGTGGTTGTTGTTAGAGATGAGGTCTTCCTTTACTGAACAAGCTGGTCTCCAACTCCTGGCTTCAAGTGATCTTCCCACTTCTGCCTCCCAAAGTGCTGGGACTACAGGTGTGAGCCACCATGCCCAGCCAAGTTCTGCTTCTTAACCTGAGGTAGATACTTTGATGTTTCATTTTGCTTTATTGTACAGATATACTTTATATTCTCATATGTGACACAAGTCAAAATTTAAAAAAACAATTTAATGTTTATTCCCTTTAGATGAATGATGGGCAAATTTACATAATGAATTCATTACTGAAACAATGTATAGATTTCAGACTAGGAAAGTAACTATTTATAAAAGAAAAGCTTAAAACCTGAAACAGAAACAAAATCCTGAAACTGTAAAATTGAGTCAAACTAAAATTTAAAAAACAAAGCAATGATATAAAGTATCATTTGTCCAAATGTGTTCTACAAAACGCTTTTTTCTTAAATATGTCTGAGGAAAAACAGGTTCTAGGAGTAAAATATGTTTGAAAAATGCTGGGTTAAACAACTGAACCTATGAAGGAAGGAATAGAACTTCTCAAGCTCTTGACTCTGGAATCTTTTTTACATGGCAATTAACACCATGCTTCTTCTTGGATTTGTATTTCAGATAAACACAATCTGGGAAACATTTTATAATACAGAGGGCCACACCAGATTGAATATTGCCCCCAGGAATGAAATGAAAACAGGAATGGATTCTCCAGTAAGAGGTACCCAGATATCCTAATCTTCAGTAGCTGACCTAAACCCTGGACAAGTGGGATCAAATCCCATAACCAAACACAACTTTTTAGGAACTAAGTGGATAATCACTCTGTGTTGTATGAACATGTGGGCAGTGTGTTTCCTACACAGCTTAAAAGTGCAACAAAAAAAGATCTAGGTGTCATATAAAGAATTTCTACCACTGTTAGGGTAATGGTGGACTGACAGGCAGAGGGGCTCAGATGTGACTTAAGTAAAGTTCAATAGAAGCTTCCAGCACAGATATTCATGTTTCAAATTGGACCACTCAGTTAAAAAGTTTTCCCATTAGACTTCCCCTAATCAAATTAGAAATTATCTAATTTTCTAATAAAGTTTTCCCCAGGCACAAGGAATCTGTGAACTGGACCTAAAAAATTCTTCGTAATGTACTTTTATTACCATAAAAGATGCACATTTATTTTAAAAACTTCTCTACACCACTATCATAAACCTTTGCACACACTTATTTCTTTTGGAAGCTAACTTCTGAGTGGTAATGAAATATATTCTTAAGAAAAAAGTCCGACACAATGCCTTTGCGTCTTAAAATATGTTAAAATATTATTTGAAAAGAGTCAAACATCTGTCTTTTCAGGGTATCACAGGGCGTCAAACTGGAAAATGTGGCACTGCCTGGAGTTTCTACCTGGTGAAGGGTGGCAGACTTTTCTCTTCAGAGGACTCTTGACAGGGTAGCATCCATTATCTTGCCAATTTACTACAACCTAGGCCCAATCCTCAGTCTTATAGGTTCAGAAATTTATTTTTATCAGCATCAACAGGGTAGCTACATTGCTTAGAAGCAAACAAAATTAACCATGCTTCAATAGAAATCAGGATATAGATGTATTAATACAGAATGACAAATATAACTGTGACAGAAATAGGAATGCCTGTTTATGGTCATATACGGCCAATACTTTCATTACAGCCAAACTCATATATGCAGCCAAATAAGAGGCCCCTGGATACACAGGGAATCAGAATAAAAAAAGAAGAACTGAACATTTAATAGTCTTCTTTCATTCAATCAATAATTTTTTTTAATTAAGCAACTACTATGTCTGGGTAACCTTCTAGGTCCTGGGGATACAGAGGTCTCTGCTTACAGAAGTCATATGTAAGTAGCAGGTGAAGAGTATGTGTTTCACAGAAGTTTATTACAATATATTAACAAGAGCAAAAAATTTTGGAAGCAATCTAAATGTTCAATAATAGAGCTCCAATTAAATAACAATAAATCCAAATAATGAAAAATAATGCAGCCCTTTAAGAATAAGCACTTGCAAGCCGTAATTCATGACATGGGAAAATTATCATAATGGAAAAAGAAGCAAGCTATATACAGTGCATGATCCTATACACACACATACATACATACATATTTCCTATCCCTTTATATGCATAAGAAAACAAGCGGGAGGAAAGTCGTATCTTTAGTCAAGTCTTGTTTACTAACGTACTATTAATGATTATCTTTTCTTTTTCTTTATACCTTTTTGCATTTTTCAATTTCCTAAAATAGCCTTACATGCCTTTTATCACCAGGAGAAAAATTACTTCTAAAGTAATTTCAGTCAACATGCATACTAAGAACTCTTCAGATTTATCTGTTAGAAGCTGTGCATGAATGCCAGTCCTTGCATCTGTCTTGGAACTCACAGAGAGCTCTTTTCCCATGGCTTTAAGCAATACTCAAAAAGACTAGCATACCTGAATTTCCTAGTCCTATGTTTTTTTCATCCAACAGCCAGTCTTGTATTTCTAGCTGTTTTCTAAACATTTCAACCAAACCATTTTACAGATAACTCATACAGTCATCCTTTGATATTCATGGGGAATTGGTTCCAGGATCCCCCTTGTATACCAAAATCCATGGATGCTCAAGTTACTGGTATAAAATAGTGTAGTATTTGCATATAACCTACACACATCCTCCTATATACTTTAAATAATCTCTAGATTACTTAATAACAATTAATACGATGTAAATGCTACGTAAATAGTTGGTATACCATGTTGTTTTTTATTTGTATCATTTTTTATCGTTGTATTGTTTTTTCTGACAATTTTGTTCCACAGTTGTTTGAATCAGTGGATGCAGAACCCATGAATATGGAGAGTCAATTGCATTTTATTATGCCCAAAGGTAAATGCATAATTTTTCCACACAGCTAATCTTCTAGCAACCCCATTGCTGTCCATGGCAAACAGGCTTAGTTAATCTCGCCCTTTCCCGTTTCAGGTTCATTATACACCATGGAATACTATGCAGCCATAAAAAATGATGAGTTCATGTCCTTACTAGGGACATGGATGAAGCTGGAAACCATCATTCTCAGCAAACTATCGCAAGGACAAAAAACCAAACACCGCATGTTCTCACTCATAGGTGGGAATTGAACAATGAGAACACTTGGACACAGGAAGGGGAACATCACACACCAGGGCCTGTTGTGGGGTGGGGGGAGGGGGGAGAGATAGCATTAGGAGATATGCCTAACATAAATGATGAGTTAATGGGTGCAGCACACCAACATGGCACACGTATACATATGCAACAAACCTGCACATTGTTCATGTGTACCCTAGAATTTAAAGTATAAAAAAAATAAAAAAATAAAGAAAGAAATAGATGTTCTGTAAAAATATACACAATTTTTACAGACAAATACATTTATAAGTTGTTTTTATCTTAAAAATTGGGGATATTTCATATTTATAACTAAATATTGAGCCTTAAGTTTTCTTGGCCATTTCTAGGCTAATAAACTAAGAATCATGTAAACTAAGCCAAAGTAGAATAGACATAAAAGTCCTGAACACTTCAACTTCCTATCCTTCAAGAAGTATACCTCGCAAAGCTCATTTGAGAGAGGAAAAGCTTTCCTCCACCCTCGGTTTTACAGTGCTGAGGCTTCTCATCACATTTCTATGACTTGTAGCTTAAATCCATGTTACATGGTCACTGGCATTGTTAGTGCTTCTCTTTTAACACTGTAGGAATTAATCAATTTGGTGGCATATTTAATTAATTCTATCACTAGAGGATTGTAAAATTACATATATGAATACCTCACTTTAGAGGCCACTTAATTTTTTTCCAAGGGGATATTTGACTATATTTCACTTGTGTCTTATTTAATGATTTTATAATTTAAACCCTAAATTATAAATCTAGAATTTAGAAAGTATATTTCCCCACTGGATTACATTTTTGGAAATATTACTTTATATGTGCACAAATATTACAAAATCACTGTAGACACCTGAAAACTATATTATCTTTTAAAGACAATATTTACATTAAACTGGTATAACAAAATTGTTTGGTGCATTTTTTCCAGTACATTTTGTGTATATTACATGTTTAACCTTTTTTTATTCAGCAAATAATTTTTGAGTATCTACTAAGTGCTAGGTTCTGCATTACTAACTGAATTTAAAGAGTGAAATAACAGACATGGTCTCAGACAATAAAAATTAACATTAGGTCACTTATTTATATATTTTTAAATGGTAATTATGAAAACTTTTTGAGATTTTTAACTAGATAACATTATAATAACGCACTTGATGTTGTTAATAGTTGCCAGTGAGCAAAAAAGAAAATAAAAAGATGGTTTTATTCAATATACACTTTAAAATTGCAGAAAATAGTCAAGTTTCTCTGCTTTGCAGTTGAATGTCTATGTGTTTTTCTCTGCAACTTGGCTTTTGTGGAGTGAAACAATTATTCTTCCAGCCCAATGAAGGCAGACGAGTAACAATAAATCTAATATTTTAAATGCTTATCAAAAGATAGTAAACACATTATTTCAGAATACTGAGTTCAATAAGTTGACCTACAAAAAAAGCCAAACTGACAGTATTACTGAATAAGGAAAGGCCCAAAGAGACAAAATACTTTTTATTTTGTAACCTCGGTATGACACAACTTACCCTAACTATAAAGACCCTAAATTACCAAGATGGGTGCTTATAATATGGAGAGTTACAAAGTCATTTCACTTTTAGCTTTTTTATTTCTCTCAGAATAAAAAGTGTATAAGGAGTTGATAAAGAAGTTGATACTATAAGTTAGTACTACAATGACAGCACTTTTCAAGAAAAGACTTTTTTCTCTCTTACAAATATCATGTTAGCAGTATTTGTTTTCTCCAGAAATAATGAGTAAATAAAAACATAAGTATGTGGGTAATTAGTGTAGTTTCTTAAATAAATGAGTTAGGCAACAGGCTAATAATGTATATTTCACTGGCTTTTCAATGCCAACAATCATATTCTTTATAAGGCACAGAGAAGATTTTTCTAAAGAATAAGTATGTGAACCTGAAAAGTAATCACCACTTGGTAGTGACAATATGGATAGGGTGAAGGGCGTCACCAAGAAGCAATGAAAAGATACATTTGCAGTTAAATTTGAAAACCATGATGTTTAATACATATAGTAATAAAGAATACTTTCTCCTGTCTCAAAATTATTTTAGAATTTAAGATAGAAGCTAAAATACCTAGGGATAATGATATGACTATCAAAAATTAAAAATTAAAGGATATTTTGAGTATTATAAATTAAGAATGAGAACTTATTACCCAATGAACAGGGGATAATTCATTATGCTCCATATCCATTGAATTAAAAGACAGGCCCATTACCTGGATAATTTGAAAGTTTAATTTTATTTAAAAGTCTTGTTTCGTTCATCAAGCTAAAGGATTAGCTCCCAGAAATATTCCAGGATTGCATATCCCCAACTCTGTAGGAAGTATAGAAAGAATGTTATAAGGGCCACCATCTAAACATTATTATATAAATAATTTAGTACCATTCCATTTGCCTTTGTAGATTTAAAAATGTAAATGGCTTTCTCATATTAGGAAACATCACTTTTCAAAACCCAGGTAAACATAGTATATTGCAAGAGAATAATTATTTTCTTTATTAAAAAAGAAATACTGGATGCTAAGTCCAAAAGACATAAATTATTTTATACTAATAACTACTAATATTTTATTCATTAAAATATAAAGGTCAAAGATTTCAAAATGATCTTTAAATGATTAATAACATGTTGATCTTTTTCTTCTTTCTGTAAACCTTTTTGAGTCTTAACAATACTAAACTATACAAGCAATATTAAATAGTATATAAACTTGGATTAAAATATTCAAATTTACTAGAATGTGGACATTGGAAAGAATGAAAATAAACAGAAGCATAAAGCAGCAGATATAAAATTAAGAAAGCAACTAAGAGTGTTTAAAGTGCATATTCATCTGTAGTCTAATGTCTACCATAAACAATGACTCTTCTCAGTAAAACACAAATTGTTCATGAAGGGAAAAAGCATGTTGTATTAGAGCATATTCAACATAATTTTTTTAGTACTAACTTGTGCCTGGAGTATTATTGGTTTTTCTATTATGAACTTATGCACTTGATAATTTTTTTCATCAAAATTGTATGTACAACTCCATTCAAAAGCAGTTTTTGGTCGTTTTTTTTTTTTTTATTTTGAGACAGAGTTTTGCTCTTTTCACCCAGGCTGGAGGGCAATGATGCGAATTTGGCTCACAGCAACCTAGCAAATTTTGCCTCCCAGGTTCAGGTGATTCTCTTGCCTCAGCCTCTCGAGTGGTTAGGACTACAAGCATGCACCACCATGCCTGGCTAATTTTGTGTTTTTAGTAGAGACATGGTTTTGCCATGTTGACCAGGCTGGTCTTGAACTCCTGACCTGAGGTAATCCGCCCACCTTGGCCTCCCAGAGTGCTGGGTATGGGCAAGAGCCACCATACCTGGCCTCAAAAGCAGTTTTTAAAAGCAAACACAATATAACACCAAAGTTGAAAAATCCATGCTCACTCAAGGATGCCAGGTTTAATAAATTATTGATAGAATACTACATCAAAAATAAGACAATAAACCAAAATATACCATTAAAGATGTATCCACTCCTACAACTAGAGATAACTAATCTATCTGGTAGCAAATGATACTTCAATCAGTTTCAGCATGTCTGAAATCTTTAAGGACAAAAGTGATAAAACATGACTTCATTCTTCATTAGCCTCTTAGAACACTTGAAGGAAAATAATTTCTGAAGCACGAAGAGGTAAAGAGGTGTAATCTTTCAAAAAGATATTCAGTGTTCAAAATCCAAGAGTGCAATATCAGGCTGGGTGCGGTGGCTTATGCCTGTAATCCCAGCACTTTGGGAGGCCATGGTGGGTGGATCACCTGAGGTCAGGAGTTCGAGTCCGGCCTGGACAACAGGGTGAAACTCTGACTGTACTAAAAATACAAAAATTAGCCAGGCATGGTGGTGTGCACCTGTAGTCCTAGCTACTTGGGGGGCTGAGACAGGAGAATCGCTTGAACCTGGGAGGTGGAGGTTGCAGTGAACCGAGATCATGCCACCTCACTCCAGCATCAGTAACAGAATGAGATTCCATCTCAAGAAAAGAAAAGAGTGTAATATCGGTATACACAGATAATATACTGAATGAAACAAATAGAATAATTTGAAGAGGTATCTTGATGAACAAGGAGTCATTAGAAAGGTTGTATTTATGTCTTTGAAGGAAATTGCAATGTGAGAAATTAATACTTTGACTACTATACTAAAAGTTTATTGCTAACATCTATTGAGTTATTAACGTGTGTTAGGCAGAGTACCATATAATTTACAAGTGTTATCTCATTTATTGTAGGTAAAATGTAATTTCAAACTCTGGGAGTATAAATGAATTAGATAGAATAAAATTCTATTTAAATGGCCATCAGTAAATCGGTATCTAGGAACAGGGTGATACAGTGCCCAAGTTTTCTATTCTTACTAAATGTTGTGTTTCCTTTTCAATGTTTTCTTGGATATTGCTCTTTTTTGGTGATTTTGATTTTTTTTATTTTAGAAAACTAATAAATTGACTCTTCTTGGTACTGACTCGGGTTTTATAGAAGAAAAAGTAATTAAATTCTGTACATTTACCTTTACCTCATTTTTTCTCTTTTAAATTTACTTTAATTGACATACAATAAATGTACATGTTATGGGGTACAGAGTGATATTTTGATATATTTATGCAATGCGTAAAGATCAAGTCAGAGTCATTATCATATCCATTACCTAAATCATGTATTATTTCTTTGCAGTGAGAATATTCAAAATCTTTTCTTTTAGTTATTTGAAAACACACAATAAATTCCCATTAACTACAGTCACCCAACAGTGCTGTAGAGAACTAGAACTTCTTCCTTCTCTCCAGCTGTAATTTTGTATGTATTAAGCACATTTTTCTTATACTCTTCTTTCTCCTACTCTTTCCAGGATATGGTAACCAAAACTCTACTATCTACTTCTACGAGATTAAAAATTTTAGCTTCCATACATAAGTGAGAACACGTAGTTATGTGGTGTTTATATTTCTATGCCAGGCTTATTTCACCTAACATAATGCCCTCCACTTGCATTCTTGTTGCCACAAACAACAGGATTTTGTTCTTTATTATGACTAAATAATATTCCATTATATATGTATGTCACATTTCTTTATCCATTCATCTGTTGATGGACACTTTTGTTGATTCCATATCTTGGCTATTGTGAATAGTGCTGTAATAAACATGGGGGTGCAGGTAACTCTTTGATATACTGATTTTCTTTCCTTTGGATATATACTGAAAACCATATGATTAAATTAATAAACACAATAAAAGCGTTTGGCAAAATTAAATATTCTTACATGACAAAAAACTTCTCAACAATTTAGTATAGAAAATATATGCCTTAACACAAAGGACATAAAGGACAAATCTACAGCTAAGATCATACTGAGTGTGGAAAAGGTGAAAGATTTTACTGTGAACAAGAAAAAGATTTTACTGGAACAAGAAAAGGATGCCTATTCTCACCAATCATATTTCACATAGTGAAAGTCTTAGCCAGGACAATTAGGTGAGAGAAAGAAATAAAGGACATCTGAATTGGAAAGGAGACAGTCAAATTGTCCTTGTTTAAAGACAACGTGATCTTATACATGGAAAAAAATAAGACTCTACCAAAAGCTTCTCAGGGTGATACATGAAATTAATAAAGTTGCAGGATATAAATCAACATACAAAAATCAGTAGCATTTCTATATATTGATAGTAAACTAGCTGAAACAAGAAATTAAGAAAGCAATTCCTTTTACAATAGCTACAAAAATGTACTTAGAAATAAATTTAACCAAGTAAAAGATTTCGACAACAAAAATGACAAATATTAATGAAAGAAATTAAAGAAAACATAAAAAAGCAAAGACATCCACGTTTATAGATTGAAATAATATTCTTAAAATGACCCACTATCCTATGTGATTTACAAATTTAGTACAATCACTAGCTTGTATTTTTAAAAGCACCTTTGCTGCATATTCTTAACATATTCAATGACAATGCCTGGATTTAAGTTTGAGGTATTATTATATCTATTTTATACTGGGCACAATATAATGTTATCAGAGGTAACGGTTTTGATTGGTCCTAGGTCATACAGTAATATATACATTGTCATTTATAGACATGCTATCTTTTAATACTCAGGCATTTAGAAAGTTCATTTAGACAAAGTTATAAAAACTTGCCTTCCTTTCTGCCTGTATCACCTAAAAATCCTAATTTAAGAGGTAATAACATTTTTTATTTGATATACAATTTATCAACACAATAAAAATCTAACAATTATCATGTGCAGAGTGTGAAAATCTCATCAGATTAAGGAACACAAAGACATCTTTTTCATATTTTGAATGTAAAACTGTTTTGGAAACTGTTATTTTTAGAAACAGTTAAAAACATTGTTTCATTAGTTTTTCATGTAAAATTGTGACAACCAGCATGAAATAACTGTCATCACAGAAGCATGGTATATTCGATTCCGAAACATATTCTTTGTAAGTTTTAATATATTTATGTATTATTTATACTTAATTGTAACCCATAATGTACAGATATTATTTTTCCTTCAACTCTTAAGAATATTCTTAAATAATAAAATTAATGAATTATAATTTTTGTTGGTTGGGAAAAAGATACACACGTGACAGTGCATCACTTCACCTCATCATTTCATCTCATTTCATCTTATCCCATCTCATCTCATCATTTCATATCATCTCATCATTTCATCTCATCATTTCATCAAATCTCATCTCATCTCATTTCCATTTCATTTTCATTATTTCATCATTTCATTTCACTATTTCATTTCATGTAATTTCATTTATTTCATTATGTCATTTCATATCATCTCATTTCATTTCATGTCATATTTTTATATCATTTTTCGTATCATTTTTCATCACATTTCATCTCAATTTCATCTCATCATTTCATCTCACCTCATCATTTCCTCCTTTCTTTTCAACATTTCATCTCATTTCCTCTCATCTCATTTCAATTTTATTTCGTTATTTCATCTCATTTCATTATTTCACCTAATTTCATTATTTCATCTCATCTCATCTCAATTCATCTCATCTCATCTCATCATTTCATCTCATCATTTTTCATCTCATCATTTTTCATCTCATCATTTAATCTCATTTCATTTCATCTCATTTCAGCTCATTTCATGTCACATCTCTTCATCATTTCAACATTTCATTTCATCTCATCATTTCATCTCATCTTTCAATTTCATTTCAATATCAATTCATCATTTCATTTCACTTCATTATTTCATTATTTCATTTCATTTCAATTCATCTCATCATTTTTCATCTCATCATCTCATTTCATCATTTCATCTCATTTCTTCTCATTTCATCTCATTTTATCTCATTTCATCTCATCTCATTTCAATTTCATTTCATTATTTCATTTCACTTCATTTCATTTCATCTCATCACTTTATCTCATCTCATTGCATCAAATCATTTCTTCTCATCTCATCTCATTTCATCATTTCATCTCGTTTCATCTCATTTCATCTCATCTCACCTCATCATTTCATCTCATCCTTTCATTTCATCTCATCGTTTCATCTCACCTCAGCATTTCATCATTTCATCTCATCATTTATTTCATCTCATTTTATCTCATTTCATCTCATATCTCAATTCAATTTCCTTTCATTATTTCATTTCATCTCATTCATTTCATCTCATTTCATTACATCTCATTTCCTCTCATCATTACATCTCATCTCATCTTATCATTTCATCTCATCATTGCATCTCATCATTTCATCTCATCATTCATCTCATTTCATCTCATTTCCATTTCATTATTTCATTTCATCATTTAATTTCATCATCTCATTTAATTTCACCTCATTTCATTATTTCATTTTTTCATTTCATTGTCATTTCATTTCATCTCATTACATTTCATCTAATTTCATTTCACCTCATTTCATCTCATCATTTCATTTCATCTCATCATTTCATCTTTTCATCTCATTTCATCTCATCATCTCATCAACTCTTTTCATCTTATCTCATCATTTCATTTCATCTCATCATTTCATCTCATCTCGTATCTTATCTCATTTCAATTTCGTTTCATTATTTCATGTCATCTCATCTCATCTCATCATTTCATCTCATCATTTCATCTCATCACCTCATCATTTCATCATTTTATTTCATCATCTCATCATTTCATCTCATCTCGATTTTATTTCAATTTCATTTCACTATTTCATTTCATCTCATCATTTCATCTCACCATTTCATTTCATCATCTCATCTCATCATTTCATTTCATCATTCATCTCATCATCTCATCATTCATCTCATTTCATATCATCATTTTATCTCATCTATCATTTCATCTCATTTCATCTCATCTCATTCCATCATTACATCTCATTTCATCTCATTTTATGTCATCATTTCATGTCATCATTTCATCACATCTCATCTCATCATTTCATCTCATCATTTCATCATTTCATCTCATTTCAACTCATTGCATCTCAGCTCATCATTTCCATTTCATTATTCCGTTTCATCATTTCATTCATTATGTCATTTCATCTCATATTTCATCTCATCTCATCATTTCATCTCATTTTATCTCATCTCATTTCATCATTTCATCTCATCATTTCTTATCTCATCATTTCCATTTCATTTTCATTATTTCATCATTTCATTATTTTATTTCATCTCATTTCATTATTTCATTTCATTATGTCATTTCATTTCATCTCATTACATTTCATCTAATTTCATTTCACCTCATTTCATCTCATCATTTCATTTCATCTCATCATTTCATCTTTTCATCTCATTTCATCTCATCATCTCATCAACTCTTTTCATCTTATCTCATCATTTCATCATTTCATCTCATCATTTCATCTCATCTCGTATCTTATCTCATTTCAATTTCATTTCATTATTTCATGTCATCTCATCTCATCTCATCATTTCATCTCATCATTTCATCTCATCACATCTCATCATTTCATCATTTTATTTCATCATCTCATCATTTCATCTCTCATTTCGATTTCAATTTCATTTCACTATTTCATTTCATCTCATCATTTCATCTCACCATTTCATTTCATCATCTCATCTCATCATTTCATTTCATCATTCATCTCATCATCTCATCATTCATCTCATCATTTCATATCATTTTATCTCATCTATCATTTCATCTCATTTCATCTCATCTCATTCCATCTCATCTCATTCCATCATTACATCTCATTTCATCTCATTTTATGTCATCATTTCATGTCATTTCATCACATCTCATCTCATCATTTCATCTCATCATTTCATCATTTCATCTCATTTCAACTCATTGCATCTCAGCTCATCATTTCCATTTCATTATTCCATTTCATCATTTCATTCATTATGTCATTTCATCTCATATTTCATCTCATCTCATCATTTCATCTCATTTTATCTCATCTCATCATTTCATCATTTCATCTCATCATTTCTTCTCATCTCATCATTTCCATTTCATTTTCATTTCATTATTTCATCATTTCATTATTTTATTTCATCTCATTTCATTATTTCATTTCATGTCATTTCATTTCATCTCATTACATTTCCTCTAATTTCATTTCACCTCATTTCATCTCATCATTTCATTTCATCTCATTTCATCTTTTCATCTCATTTCATCTCATCATCTCAACCCTTTTCATCTTATCTCATCATTTCATCATTTCATCTCATCATTTCATCTCATCTCGTATCTTATTTCATTTCAATTTCATTTCATTATTTCATGTCATCTCATCTCATCTCATCATTTCATGTCATCATTTCATCTCATCACATCTCATCATTTCATCATTTTATTTCATCATCTCATCATTTCATCTCATTTCGATTTTATTTCAATTTCACTATTTCATCTCATCATTTCATCTCACCATTTCATCATCTCATCATTTCATTTCATCATTCATCTCATCATCTCATCATTCATCTCATCATTTCATATCATCATTTTATCTCATCTATCATTTCATCTCATCTCATCTCATTCCATCATTACATCTCATTTCATCTCATTTTATGTCATCATTTCATGTCATTTCATCACATCTCATCTCATCATTTCATCATTTCATCTCATTTCAACTCATTGCATCTCAGCTCATCATTTCCATTTCATTATTCCATTTCATCATTTCATTCATTATGTCATTTCATCTCATCATATTTCATCTCATCTCATCATTTCATCTCATTTTATCTCATCATTTCATCTCATCATTTCTTCTCATCTCATTTCCATTTCATTTTCATTTCATTATTTCATCATTTCATTATTTTATTTCATCTCATTTCATTATTTCATTTCATTATGTCATTTCATTTCATCTCATTACATTTCATCTAATTTCATTTCACCTCATTTCATCTCATCATTTCATTTCATCTCATCATTTCATCTTTTCATCTCATTTCATCTCATCATCTCAACCCTTTTCATCTTATCTCATCATTTCATCATTTCATCTCATCATTTCATCTCATCTCGTATCTTATCTCATTTCAATTTCATTTCATTATTTCATGTCATCTCATCTCATCATTTCATCTCATCATTTCATCTCATCACATCTCATCATTTCATCATTTTATTTCATCATCTCATCATTTCATCTCATTTCGATTTTATTTCAATTTCATTTCACTATTTCATTTCATCTCATCATTTCATCTCACCATTTCATTTCATCATCTCATCTCATCATTTCATTTCATCATTCATCTCATCTCATCATTCATCTCATCATTTCATATCATCATTTTATCTCATCTATTTCATCTCATTTCATCTCATCTCATTCCATCATTACATCTCATTTCATCTCATTTTATGTCATCATTTCATGTCATCATTTCATCACATCTCATCTCATCATTTCATCTCATTTCATCATTTCATCTCATTTCAACTCATTGCATCTCAGCTCATCATTTCCATTTCATTATTCCATTTCATCATTTCATTCATTATGTCATTTCATCTCATCATATTTCATCTCATCTCATCATTTCATCTCATTTTATCTCATCTCATCATTTCATCATTTCATCTCATCATTTCTTCTCATCTCATCATTTCCATTTCATTTTCATTTCATTATTTCATCATTTCATTATTTTATTTCATCTCATTTCATTATTTCATTTCATTATGTCATTTCATTTCATCTCATTACATTTCATCTTTCATCTCATAATTTCATCCATCATTTCATTTCATCATTTCATCTCATGATTTCATCTCATCTCATTATCTCATTTCATCTCATTATTTCATCTCATTTCATCTCATCTCATTTCCTCATTTCATTTCACCATTACATCTCATCATTTCAACTCATCTCATTTCAATTTCATCATTACATTTCATAATTTCCTTTCATTATTTCATTTCATTTCATCTCATTTCATTATTTCATTTCATCTCATTTTTCATCTCATCATTTTTCATCTCATTTCATTTCATCATTTCATCTCATCGTTCATCTCATCTCATCATTTTATCTCATTATTTCATCTCATATCATCTCATTTCAATTTCATTATTTCATATCATTTCATTATTTCATTTCATCTCGTTTCATCTCATTTCATCCATCATCTCATTTCATCTCATTTTATCTCATCTCCTCTCCTTTCAATTTCTTTTCAATTTTGTCATTTCGTCTCATCATTTCATCTCATCATTTCTACTCACCATTTCATCTCAAAATTTCATCTCATCATCTCATCTCATCATTTCGTCATTTCATCTCATCATTTCATCTCAAGTCATCATTTCATCTAAGTGAAATGATGTAATGGAATCATGAAATGAAATGGATAGGATGCCCTCAGTGATGTTAAATTTAAAAATTGTTTCTTTTCATGTATGCATTTTTATATTTATATTTACTTATAGTTATTTTTACTTTTTATTTATATTTTTACTTATTTCTTTATTTATAAACAAGGTCCTGTTCTGTGGCCTAGGCTGGAATGCAGTGGTGCATGGTGCATTCACAGTTCACTGAAGCCTCAAGCAAACCTCCCACCTTAGCCTCCCAGGTAGCTGGGACCCCAGGTGCGCACCACCACACCTGGTTAATATTTTATTATTTGCAGAGATGGAGTCTTGCTATTCTGCCCAGGCTGGTCTCAAACTCCTGGGCTCAAGCAATCCTCCTGCATTGGCAACCCAAAATGCTGGGAGGACAGATATGAGCCACAGTGCCCAACCTATTTATTTATTTATTTATTTATTTATTTATTTAATAAAGACAAGGTCTCACTATGTTGCCCAGGCTGGTCAACTCCTGGACTCAAATGATTCTCCAAACTTGGCCTCTCAAAATGTTGGGATTACAGGTATGAGCCACCATGCTTGGCCTAAAAATAGTATTATATTTTTGTATCATATAATTTTCAATTAGGTATTATGAATATTCTGTACAGGAAACACACCCTTAATTACATAGGAATAAACATTTGTTACACTGAGAAAAATCTAATAGAGCTAAAAATAAAAATTAATTTGGAAAGGTCATTAGATACTGATACATTCTTACGTTTATACATTCTTTCATATATTCATATATCCTTTTAACAGTATCAATGGTTTGGAGTTACGTGTACAAAGCCATGACCCATATGTAATACAACTAATAACAGGCACTTACAATTCAAGGCATATTATATACAAAGCTTTAACTTCTTATCAAAATATTTTACTTTTTTCTTTCTGTTTTGGCAGATACTATGAACACAACATTCAACTCACAGACACCATGGAGCCCTTACTAAGCATAAAGTACTGTGAAAGGCCAGGGCTAGGACAGAACTGAGACAGGGCCAGGGATAGGACAGAACTGGGGCAGGGTCATGGCCAGAGAAAAACCAGGGGCAGGGTCACAGCCAGGGACATGAGAGGACCAAGGCCAGGTCCAGATGCAGGGAAGAACCAGGGCCAGGGCAGGGACATGGCAGGGCCAGGGCCATGGCAGGATCAGGGTCAGCAGAAGGCCAGGGCAGGGCTAGGGTGGCACAGGGCCAAGGCAGGGCAGGGTCAGTGTAGAGCAAGGAACGGGCCAGGGTATGGCAGGGCAGGGACAGGGAGGTCCAGGGCCAGAGTCAGGTCCAGGACATGGACAGGGCAGGGCCAGAAACATGGCAGGACCAGAAAGGGGACAGGGCAAGGGCAAGGCCAGAGAAGGACCATGGGAAAAACATGGCCAGGGAGGGTCCAGGGCAAGGGCAAGTCCAGGGCAGAACCAGAGCCAGAGCAGGCCAAAGGCAGGGCCAGGGCAGGGCAAGGCCAGGATAGGGCAGGGCCAGTGTAGGGTGAGGGTAGGACCAGGGCGAGTTCAGGGCCAGGGCAGGACTAAGATAGCACAAGGCTAAGGCAGGGCCAAAAGGAGGGGCCAGGGCCAAGCATGGCCAGTGTCAGACCTGGGGATTGTCAGGGTCAGGGTCAAGGCTGGTCCAGGGACAGGGCCAGAGCAAGGGCAGGGCCAGGGAGAAAGCAGAACCAGAGAGGATCCAGAGCAAGGCCAGGGTCAGGGCAGAACCAGGACCAGGATAAGGCAAAGCCAAGGCCAGGGCAGGGCAAGACCAGGGAAGGGCAAGGCCAGGGTAGAAAAGGCCAGGGTAGGGCCAGGCCAGGGTAAGAGAAGGCCATGGTAGGGCCAAGGCCAAGGCAGGGCAGGGCTAGGGTAGCACAGGGCACGGCCAAAAACAGAGCAGGGCCATAGCAGTGGCAGGACTAGCAACAGGGCTAGGGCAAGCGCTGGACCAGAGCATGGTGGGGACAATATAGGGCCAGGACAGAGGATGGCAAGGCAGGTCCAGGGCCATCTCATGGACTCAGTAGGCCTGGGGTCAGGCCAGGGCAGGGCAAAGGCAAGGCCAGGAAGAAGGCAGGGCCGGGGCCAAGGCAGTGCCAGGGCAGGGCAGGACCAGTGCAGGGCCAATGCAGGGTGAGGGCAAGGCCAGGGCATGGAAGGGCAGGGCAGGATCAAGGAAGGGCCAGGAGAGGGCCACGGCAGGGTCATGGCGAGAACAAGGGTATGGCTGGGGTCAGGAATATGGTAGGATGAGGGCTGGGCCCAGGCTGGGGCACGCAGGGCAGAGCATGGTCTGTGCAAGGCATGGCCAGAGCCAGGCCATAGAGATGGGAGGGCAACACCAAGGCAGAGTCAGGGTAGATCCAGGGCTGAGCAGAGTCAGGGCAGGTCCAGAGTCGAGGCAGAGCTAGGGCCCAAGCAGGGCCATGGTAGCACCAGGGCAGAGGAGGGCAGGGCAATGCAGGACTGGGCCATGGCAGTGCCTGGTCAACTCCGGGGCAGGGCCAGAAGCAGGACAGGGCCAGGGCCAATGCTCAGGCCAGGGACAGGGCATGACAGGACGTGCCAGAGCAGGGCTGGGCCAACGTTGGGGCAGGGCAAATCAGACCAGGACACCTCCAAGTCCAGCTCTGGCCCTGCCTTGGCCCTGGCCCCTTCCTGGCCTGACCTTGTCCCTGGCCCTGCCCTATCCATGCCCTGTGTGTTTGACCAGTGTTTTATAACCAGAATCCTACAAGAAACTTAAATTAGTTCTTTTTGTGCATTTTTAGTAGAGATGGGGTTTCACAATGTTGCCCAGGCTGGTTCCAAACTCCTGAGCTCAAGCCATCTGCCTGCCTTGGCCTCCCAAAGTGCTGGGATTACAGGAGTAATCTGGCCAAGTATTTACCTTCTTTTTGCCTGTTTCCTACATTTGGAAAATGGGGATGCTTTAAGTACCTAGCATATAGAATTATTATGAGAATCAATGCCTCACATATTTACATGTTGATAAAATTATACTCATAGAACACTACTGGAAGCAAAGATAGTATTAGTTAAAATTTAGTGATTACTGCAAGTATTATTACTATTACAAACAACATAGTATAGACATTACTACTACTATAGTTATCTTAAAAATCTAAAATAAAAATTTTAGTAATAGCCTAAAGTAATCTCTCCTGCTCTGCCCTGGCTCAGCCCTAGTGCCGGCTCTGCCCCTAGTCCTACTACATCCCTGGCCCTGACCCTTCCCTGATCCAGCCGCTGCCCTGGCCCTTCCCATCTTCAGGCCTTAACATGGCCCTACCCTGGTCCTGACCCTGCCCTGGTCTGGTCCTGACCCTGGCCCTACCCCAGAGAAGGGGTATGGCAGAGCCAGGGAAGGGCCGGGGCAAATAAGGGACAGGACACATCCAAATCCAGGAACGGGCCAGGGCCATGACAGAGCCAGGGCGAGTCCTTGGCAGGGCCAGGTTCCAGGCCAGGACCAGGAAAATGTCATGGCAGGGTCACTGTATGGCCAAGGTCCAGGCCAAAGCCAAGGCAGTGGCAGGGTCAGGTCTGCATAAGGGCAGGACCAGAGCCAGTGATACGGCAGGGCCAGGGCCAGGGCCAGGGCCAGGGCTGTGCCAGGACAGAACAAGAGCAGAGCAGGGCAGGACCACAGCCAGGCCATAGAGAGAGTAGGGCAAATGCCAAGGCAATGCCAGGGTAGTGCCAGGGCTGAGGCAAGGTCAGGGAAGGTCCAGGGCTGAGTCAAGGCTAGAACCAAGATGGGGCAAAGGCCGGGGCAGATCTAGGGCACAAGCGGGGCAGATCTAGGGCACAAGCAGGGCAAGCTAGGGCAGGGCAATGGCAAGACCAGGCCATGGCAGGGCCAGCCCAGGATAGAACAGGGCACAGGCAGGGCAGGGCCAGGGCCACGGCTGGGGCAGGACAAGGACCAGGACCGGGGTCCAGGCCAGGGCAAGGGTATGGCCAGGGCAGAGGTAGGGCCAGAGCCAGGGTCTGGGCAGGACCAAGGCAGGTCTATTGCAGGGCCAGGGTTCAGACCAGGGCCAGAGCAGGGCTGGGACAGGGCCAGGGCCAGAACCAGGAAAGGGCAATGTCAGGACAAGGGCCATGGCAGGACCAGCAACGGGGCTAGGACCAGTACAGGGACAGGGACAGGGTCAGGGCTAGGGCCAGAATAGCATGCCAGGGTAGAGCCAGGCCAAATTAGGGCCAGGGCTGGGCCAGGGTATGGCCTTAAGTAGTGAAGGGCCAGGGCCAGGGTCCATGCCAGTGCCAGCGCCGGTCCAGGGCAGACGCAGGGCCATGGCCAGGTCTAGGACAAGGCTGTGGCAGGGCCAAGGTCTGGGTCAGGGTCAGCATAAGACCAGGACAGAGCCAGGGGAGGGACAGGGCCATGGTAAGACCAGGTTAAACCATGGACAAGACACCTGCAAATCCACTTCAGGGCCAGGGCAGGGCCAGTTCAGGGCCAGGGTAAGGGCTGCCAGGGTCATTGGCAGGGCCAGGGCCATGGCAGGACCAGGGTCAGGAGCAGGGGTCAATGCCAGGCCAAGGCCACAGATAGGACCAGGTCTGTGCTAGGGCCAGTGTGAGGGCCAAGACGGGGTCAGGGCAGGGCCAAAGGGAGGGCAGGGCCAGGGCAGGGTGGAGCAGGCCCAGGGTAGCACAGGGTTAAGGTAGGGCACGACCAACCAGGGCAGGTCTATGGCTGGGGCCGGGGCAGGGCCAGGGCCGGGGCAGGGCCAGAGCCAGGGCAGGGCCAAGACAGTGGCAGCTCCAGGGCAGGGCCAGGGTTAGGACCACGGACATGTCCAAGGCCAGTGCCAGGGCAAGGGCAAGGGCAGGGGCAGGGCCAGGGTCATCTAAGAATTAGGGACAAAGCCAGGCCCAGAGCTGGGCCAGGACCGGTACCTGCAGGGCTAGGGTCTGGGCCAGGGCCACAACCAGGTCTGTGCTATGGCCAGGTCCAACACAGTGCCCTGGTAAGGCTAGGGTGAAGGCCAAGGTAGGGCCAGGGCAGGGTCAAAGCCAGGCTAGGGCCAAGGCAGGGCCAGGAAAGCATAGGGCCAGGGCAGGGCAGGGCCAGGCCAGTGCCAAGACCCGGGCAGGGCCAGGGCCAGGGCCATAGAAACGGCCTGGGCAGGACCAGGTTTGGGGCAGGAGCAAAACAAGGGCAAGGACAGTGCAGGTTCTTGGCACAGCCAGGGTCCAGGACAGTGTCAGGGCAGGGCCAAGGCAGGGTCTGGGCCATGGTAAGACCAGCAACAGGGCTGGGGCTAGGTCAGTGACAGGACCAGAGTCAGGGCAAGGGCCAGAGCAGGGCAAGGCCAGGGTAGGGCCAGGCATTTCAGGGTCAGGGCCATGGGAGAACCAGGGCAAGGTCTCAAGCAGGGAAGGGCCAGGGCCAGGACAGGTCCAGGGCAGGGTCATGACAGGGCCAGGGGCTGCATTAGGGCAAGGGCAGGGCCAGAGCAAGGTAAGGGTCAGGGCCAAGGCTAGGGTAGGGACAGGGCAAGAAATATGGCAGGACCAGGGGCAATGCCAAGGCCAAGGCTGAGTCAGGGCTGAGTCAGGGCAGGGCAGGGCAAGGCATGGTATGGCCAGTGCAGGACAGGACAAGAGCCGGTCCACAGAGAGAGCAGGGCTGATGCCAAGAATGAGCCAGGCTAGTGCCAAGGCTGAGGCAGTGTCAGAGCATGTCCAGGGCAGGGCCGGGGCCAGGGCCAGAACCGAGCCAGGGCACAGCCAAGGCAGGGTAGGGCGGGGAAATAGCGTGGCCGGGTCAGTACTGGGACAGGGCAGAGCAGGGCAAGGCGATGGTAGGGGCAGGGCAGAGACAGGCCAATGCAGAGCCATGTTACACCGGGGCCAGGACACCTCCAAGTCCACTTCAGGGCCAAAGCTATGGCAGGACAAAGACCAGGGCCAGGGTCAGAGCCAGGTCTGTGCTGGGCCTAGCGAAGACTAGGGTGAGGGCCAAGGCAAGGCCAGGGCAGGGTCAAAGGCAGAGTAGAGCCAGGGCAGGGTGATGACACATCCAGAGCACAGCAGGGCAGGGTGATGGCAAGACCAGGGGCAGACCACTGCCAGCTCAGGGCCAGGGAAAGACCAGTGCAGAGCCAGGAAAGGGTCTGGGTCTGGGTCAGGGCCAGGAACAAGGCAGAGCAGGGCCAGGGCCATGGCAGAGTCAGGGCAGGTCCTTGACAGGACCAGGTTCCAGGCCAGGGCCAGGGCAGCAGCAGGGGCAGGGCCTGGATAAGGGCAGGGTCAGGGATATGGCAGGACCAGGGCTAGGGCCAGGGCCAGGGCCAGGCCATAGTGAGGGCAGGGCAAAAGCCAAGGCAGGGTCAGGGCAGGTCCAGGGCAGGTCCAGGAAGCGGCCAGCACCAAGCGGGGCCAAGGCACAACCAGCGCAGGGTAAGGCAGGGCAATGGCACCACTGGGCCATGACAGGGCCAGGTCAGTGCCAGGAGAGGGCAGAACAGGAAGGCCCATGGTGGGGCCAGGGCAGGGATGGGCCAAAGCAGAGCCAGGACATTTCCAAGGCCAGGTCAGGGCCAGAACAGGAGCAGGACCATGACCACTGGCAGGGCCAGTGCCATGACAGGACCAGGGTCAGGACAAGGGGCAGGGCCAGAGCCAGGGCCAGAGCCAAGGTCAGGCCAGTGCAGGTTCAGGGCAGGGCCAGTGCCAGGGCAAGACCAGGGCAGGGACAGGGTAGCACGGGGCCAAGACAGGGTCAGGATGGGACCAGAGCAGGACAGGGCTGAGAGTCCAGGTAACAGTAGGGCAGGTACAGGGCAAGGCAGGGCAGTACAGGGCCAGATCCACGGCAGGCACAGGGCAAAGCCAGGCCCATTGCCAATGCACCAGCCCTCCCTACAAGGCTCCTACCACCTGGCCACTGCTGCAGCCCGTCCATCGCTGTAAGCCTGACTCCCAACCCTGCCTGCAGCCGCCCGCCCTCCTAGCGTGGCCACTCTCCTACCGCTCTGGCGCACTGCAGTCTCCGTCACTGCCACCCACCCGCAGCGAGGTGAGCCGTGGTGTTGCAGGCTCTAGGTGTCTCCTCCTCCTCCTGGCATGGAGCAGCTGGGCGGGCAAAGCCAGAAAAGCCTAGAGGAAGTTGTGAGGAGTGGAAGCGTTAGAGCCTCAAGTTGTCGTGCCGGCCACTGGGTGGCAGGGGCCAGTTTCAGCAAAGGCACTCACACCCACCCTCCAAAGTCCAGCCTCTCCTTTTGGCCCAAGCTGGCTGGGAACTGGGGTCTGGGGTGGGTGCTGGAGACACCACAGCACCCAGCTCCCCACTCCACAGGAACCACTGGGCCCACCGGGGCTGCACTCCTCGGGGAACAGGAGAAGCAGAAAAATTCAGACCCAGCCAGCCCTCCGCACCCAGGTGCCAATTCCTGTTCCGGATGCCTCCACACACAGGGCCCTGTTCCCCGTGGTGTCCCCAGGGGTGCCTGGCAGCCTCTGAGGCACAGACCCAGAGTGCACAGGCTTAGGAACCACGGTGGGTGTGGGGGCTCTGCCATGCTCAGGATTCCCATGCAAACGCTGCGTGCCCTGCCGCACTCCAGTATGACCAAGAGTGGTTCGCCCTCTGGAGTGTGGAGTCAGGGAGAGGAGAACCACTCCTTCCTTGGATGCCAACTCTGTTGACTGCCGCCAGCAGTGCAGCCCCTGATAGCACCGAACTCGCCCCCGCTCCACGGCTAGTCCTGCCCTCAATAGCGCCCCCCACCTCCGTCCCCCAATGCCGCCAGTAGCATATACCCGATATGCCCTAACCTGTCCTCCTCCATGGGCATTGCAGCCCCAGAAAGCACCCATAACCCACCCTCCCTGCTGTGGGCAGTGCAGCCCTGTGCAGTGCTACCAACCAGTACCCCTAATGCAGGCAATGACACCCTGGATAGCGCCCCCAACCCACCCCACACTGCGAAAGGTGCAGCCCTGGATAGCCCCTGTCCTACCACTCTGGTCATGCTGCAGTCTCTGTCACTGCCACCACCAACTACAGTGAGGCAAGCCAGTGGGCCGCAGGCTCTAGCTCCCAGCAGCCAGGCATGGAGCAGCTCTCGCTGATGGCCGGCTCCTACCACACTGACCATGCTGCTCTCTGTCTCCGTGGCAATCTTCTTTCACTACAAAGAAATAAAACTAGGTATCAATAAGAAAAGTAATTTTGGAAACAATACAATCACATGGAAGTTAAACACTACCCTCCTGAATAAATGACCTGAATAAATAAAGGTCAATGAAGATACTAAGACAGAAATTCAAAAATTTCATGAAACAAAGGGTAATGAAAACACAGTATACCAAAACTTGTTACGCAGAAAGCAGTACAAAGGCAGAGATTTACAGCTATAAGTGCCTACCATCCAAACAAAAGAAAAACTTCAAATAAACAATACATCTTAAAGAACTAGTAAAGTAAGAACAAACTAAACCGAAAATAAGAAAATAAATAAGATCGTAGCAGAAACAAAATTGAAATAAAAAACACACAAGATTAAACGAAAAGTTGGTTTTCTGGAAAGCTAAACAAAATTGACAAACTTTTAACCAGCCTAAGAAAAGAGACAAGATTCAAATAAATAAAATCAACAGATTAAAAAAAGGAGACATTACAACTAATACTTCAGAAATTCAAAGGATCATAACTGGCTATTATATGCCAATAAATTGGAAAGCCTAGTAGAAATTGGCAAATTCCTAGATGCATACAACCTACTTAGGTTAAACAATGAAAACATCCAAGACCAGAACAGATTGGTAACAAGTAATGAGATTGAAGCCATCAGAAAAAGTCTCCCAGTAAAGAAAAGCCCAGGAACTGATGATGTCTTCACTGCTGATGGCTTCACACCAAACAATTTAAAGACCTAGTACAAATCCTGCTCAAATTATTTTGAAAAACAGGAGGGAATACTTCCAAACTTATTCTATGAGACCATTATTACTGTGATACGAAAATCAGATAAAAGCATCAAAGAAGAAAACTACAGGACAGGATCTCTAATATTGATGCAAAAATCCTCAACAGAATACCAGTGAATCAAATTCAGTAATACATTAAAAAGATAATTCATCATGATCAACTGGGATGTATCCCTGGAATGCAAGAGTCACTCAACATACAATGTGATACATCATATCAACCAAATAAACGACAAAAACCGTATGATCATGTCAACTGAAACCAAAAAAGCATGTGATGAAATTCAACATCCCTTCATGCTATAAATCCTCAAAGAAACAGGCACAGAAGAAACATACCGCAACATAATAAAAACTACAGGAAAGACACCCACAGCTAGAATCATATGGAATGGGGAAAAATGGAAAGCTTTTCCTCTAAGATCTGGAACATGATAAGGATGCCCCCTGTCACCACTGTTGTTTAACATAGTACCAGAAATCCTAGCTAAAGCAATCAGTGCAGCCCCTGATATGGCCCCCAACCCACCCTGCCCCCTACCACCAGCAGTGTCGCCCCCCCCCAATAGCACACCCAACATACCCTAACCGCCCCGCCTCCCCGCACCATGGGCATTACAGCAGCCCATAGCGCCCTCAACCCAAAACCGCCACCCCCCCCCCACAGCCACACAGTGCAGCCCCAGATAGCACACTTAACCCACCTCACTGTTGCCAGCAATACAGTCTGGGATAGTGCCCCCAACCGGCTCCCCGCCAAAGCAGTGCAGCCCCGGTTTGAGCCCCCAAACCGCCCCCCCCCCCGCCCCCGGGCAGGCAGCACAGCCCCAGATAGCACACCCAACCAGCCACCCAAGACGGGCAGTGACGCCTGAGATAGGGCTCCCAACCCGTCCCAGGCCACCAGCAGTGCAGCCTGGATGGCGCACTTACCCCAATGCCTTTCTACACTGGCTGGCTGCAGTCTCCATCGCTGCCACCAACCACAAACATGGCTGCAAACAGGAAGGATTTTATTCACCGTCGATGCGGCCCTGAGTTGTCCCAAAGCGAGGCAGTGCCCCAAGGTCTATGCAGAGCAGAACGCAGCTCCGCCCTCGCAATGCTCTCCGGGTCTGTGCCGAGGAGAACGCAGCTCCGCCCTTGCAAAGGCACACAGCGCCGGTGCCGGCGTGGCGGAGAAGCGGACAGCGGCGGAGAGGCGGTCGGCGGCGGCGCGGCGGAGAGGCGGTCGGCGGCGGCGCGGCGGAGAGGCGGTCGGCGGCGGCGCGGCGGAGGCGAGGCGGGCGGCGGCGGCGCGGCGGAGAGGCGGTCGGCGGCGGCGCGGCGGAGAGGCGGGCGGCGGCGGCGAGGCGGGCGGCGGCGGCGCGGCGGAGAGCGGCGGCGCGGCGGAGAGCGGCGGCGCGGCGGAGAGCGGCGGCGCGGGCGCACAGCGGCGGCGCAGGCGCACAGCGGCGGCGCAGGCGCGGAGAGGCGCAGGCCCAGGCTCCACTCCCCAGCTCTGAAAACTCATCCTGGTCAGAGTTCAGAAGGACATGTGGAGTATAAGGTCAGATGCGGAGATAAAGGGAGATGGTGTGGCCCTCCTGCCTGGGGGTGCTGAGCAGGTTGCTGGAGGCGGTGATCTCACTCTGAAGGAGACAGACACAGAAATGTGTGTACAGTTGATGGTGAGCATCTGAGTTGCGTCTTGTTAGTGAGGCCAGGAGTGCCTGTGTAAGCTGGAACAGATTAGGTATATGATTTGTGAAACGGAGTTTCATCCTAGATCTTCATCTAGTCAAAGGACTGTTTCCTGATTAGGCATTAGCTTAGTGGTTGCTAGTCTGTGTTGACCTTTGAAAGGCATGACTAGGCTAACTCTGAAGTTTCTGCTTCACACCATTTACAATTTAAAATTACCTAGAGCCTTGTGGGCCATTGGAAGAGACTGAATGTTTCACTCTGAAATGGGAGTCCTTGGAGGGTTTTGAGCAGAGGAGAGACATTCAGGTAATCAGATCACTCTGCCAAGACATCAGTCCGGTAGAGATCAGTCCGGTGGCACAAACCAGAGGGCTGGCAGTGGAGATGAAACAAAGAGTCAAACCCGGATAGAGTTTATTTGGAAGCTGGGTCAGTAGGATCTCCTGGTGGACTGAATGTGGGGTGTGTGAGGAAATGAGGATGGCGACTGGAAGTTCCTGGAAGGATGGGTTGTTGCAGGTTAGATAGGAAACTGTCTGCAGATGCAGTTTTGGGAAGATGATGTTTGTTTCGGCTGGGTATCATGCAGACAAGCGGAGTGTCAAGTCTGGAGAGACAGGTCTGGCCAGGGACTTAGATGTATAGCCCTCAGCATGTAGATGCCACTTAACTCTGTGAGGTGGCCGGGGAGTGAGTGCAGAGTGACTGGGAGGAGCAAGACTGGCATGGGCGAGATGGGGCGATTGCGGCCGTGAGGCCTGAGCAGTGCCTAGGAGGGAGAGGGAGAAGCAGTGTGAGCCTGCAGGCACGCAGGAGTCCAGTTGTACACGGAGGCGAAACACTGTTCAGATCCCGCTGCAGTGTTAACTATGGTAAAGGCAGAGTTGACCACCGGAGGAGTCCTTCAGCGTGGAGGCCTTCAGCGATCTTGGCAAGCACCAATTTTCATGGATGTAGGAGAATGGGAGCAGAGGAACTGGAGGCTGCAACTGTGGAAAACTTTTGTGGGGTTTTGCTGCAGAGAGAAGCAGAGAAATGAAGCAGTTTTTGGTGGAAGAAGTGGAATCAAAAGGTTTTGAGATGAGAGAGAGAACAGAGGGAAGAGCTGTTGGAATAAAGTCCAGGAAGAGTGGATGGTGTCTAGTGAGCAAGTGATGTGTGGCCCTGAGTAGAGGCATGGACAAATCATCTGTGCCTGAGCTGCCCGTAGAACTTTCTGTGATCATGGAGATGCACATCTGTGCTTCCCAATATTGTAACACTGGCCACAGGTTGATACGGACCACTTCCAGTGTGACTAGTGTGATTGAGGAACTGCATTTTAAATATTATGTAATTGTAATTAATTTTAATTTAAATAGCCACACATAGCTCCTCTATGGGGCAGGTCAGAGCTCTGATAAGGCTGGATATGGGAGGAAACCCTGGTATAGGGTTGACCGTAGAGGTTCTTTTGGTTTTGGAGTGAATCAGGAAACAGCCATCAGCTGAGTGAAGGTGAGGGTGGTGGTGGGTGTTTGAAGACAAGGGAAAAGTGTGAAAGAATTATTTGGAGAGGAAGGAAAGAAAGTGTGGACTGGGGATGTTTCTAATGTTTGAGCACGCAGGGCTCCACAGTTATCTACATTTGCTGTCCCTTGGAGCAGGAGAGAAGAAAATGGTTGGGACATATTCTGAACAGACTGTAGAGGTAAAATGTGTAGGGTTTTTTTTTGTTTTTTTGTTTTTTGAGATGGAATCTCGCTCTATTGCCCAGGCTGGAGTGCAGTGGCACGATCTTGACTCACTGCAACCTCCGTCTCCCAGGTTCAAGCGATTCTCTCACCTCTGCCTCCTGAGTAGTTGGGACTACAGGCACGCACCACCATGCCCAGCTGATTTTGGTATTTTTAGTAGAGACAGGGTTTCACCATGTTGGCGAGGCTGGTTTCAAACTCCTGACCTCATGTGATCTGCCCGCCTCGGCCTCCCAAAGTGCTGGATTACAGGCATGAGCCACTGTACCCGGCCAAATGTGTAGTATTTTTAATAGGATAAAGCCTACATAATTCTGTCCACAGTTCCTTTACTTAGAAATTGCTCATTTGTTCATGTTAATCCTATGTTTATTACAAATAACAGCATACAGGTTTCCACCCCCCCCCCACCCCATCATGTACAGCTGAATCACGTAGAATTTGAAGATCAAGATGATGAAGCCAGAGTTCAGTATGAGGGTTTTCGACCTGGGATGTATGTCCGCGTTGAGATTGAAAATGTTCCCTGTGAATTTGTGCAGAACTTTGACCCCCATTACCCCATTATCCTGGGTGGCTTGGGCAACAGTGAGGGAAATGTTGGACACGTGCAGGTGGGTCCCTTTGCTGCGTATTTGGTGCCTGAGGCTCTGTGGATTTCCCCTCCATCAATCATCTTACCCTCTCATCCCCTTCAGATGCGTCTGAAGAAACATTGCTGGTATAAGAAAATCCTCAAGTCCCAAGATCCAATCATATTTTCTGTAGGGTGGAGGAGGTTTCAGACCATCCTGCTCTATTATATCGAAGACCACAATGGAAGACAAAGGCTTCTAAAGTATACGCCACAGCACATCCATTGTGGAGCAGCCTTTTGGGGTAAAATATGATTACAATAACTTGCCTATTGCCGAGATTAAACTTTACAGGCTGTGTTATTTTAGCTTTGTGCTTTTCCTTTCATAAAATTCCACTCCTAAGATGTTTCTCTTTTCTGGGAGCGGGGAGGTGGTTTGGAGTATATATGTACATCTATATCCAAATCTAAGTGTCCATATCCAGTATGTTAAACTAGAATCTAAAATTTCTGGTTTGCTATATTTCTTTTTTTCCTTTTCCTTTAAGACCCTATCACTCCACAGGGAACTGGTTTCTTGGCAATACAGTCTGTCAGTGGCATAATGGTAACTATCTTGGACGATTTCTTTTACAGATTGGTTTGAGAAATATATCCTGAATGTGGGTTATTATGTACATGAGACTTTAAGTTGAAAATTACTCATTTTTATTAATATAAAGTAAATTTCCCTTTGCTTTTAATCTTCGTACATCCTTTTCAGTAGGGTGTGGGATTAGAGGAGGGGAGGTGGAAGAATTATAATGGTACATTTCCTATTTTTATGCATCTTTTGCATTTATTTATCCAAGCAAGTATTTAAGCAGTGCTCACCATGTGCTAAGCACTATATGAGGTTATGAGGAGCCATCAGAGACCACCCAGACACAAGACTCCCTGCAGCTGTGCTGGGGTAGCAGTCTGTTCACTCCATTTTCATTTGACCAGTCAGGCAGGGCAGGGTTTACTGGTCCCATTTAACAGAGAAGAAAGCAGAATAATGAGCAGATGGAATCTTCCCTGGAGGTCCAAATTTTAATTTCCTAAACATTGCAACTGTATTTTTCTTTTCCATTTCGTTCCAAATAAATCATTATAGTAAAATTACATTCCTCTGAAATCACTCTCAGGAAAGTACTCAAGTAGCCTTTTTTTTTCTTTCTTTTTTTTTTTTTTTTTTTTTGAGACCGAGTCACACTCTGTCTTCCAGGCTGGAGTGCAGTGGCACGATCTTGGCTCGCTGCAACCTCTGCCTCCTGGGTTTAAGCGGTTCTCCTGCCTCGGCCTCCCGAGTAGCTGGGATTACAGGTATGCACCATCATGCCGAGCTAATTTTTGTATTTTTAGTAGAGACGGAATTTCGCCATGTTGGCCAGACTGGTTTCAAACTTCTGACCTCAGGTGATCCACCTGCCTTGGCCTCCCAAAGTGCTGGGATTACAGGTATGAGCCACTGTGCCTGGCCTCAAGTCACCCTTGTTAGTTTGGCTTACCAACTTTAAAGTTTTGGATTGCTTTTGTCAAACCAATGGGTTGCAAGTTCAGATGGTCTCTCTTGTTTTTCTTAACTAATTGTAAGTAAAATTCACTTTGGTAATTTATTGTGTCACATAGAATTGAAGTTTTTCTCTTGCTAATATTATTCCTATTTTCAAATTTTGGGGCTCCTGTTAGCCTGATTTTCGGATAGCTGCCACAGGAGTTGTCCTTGATCTGGATAAATCCATAAAAATTGTGAAGAAATTAAAGCTAACTGGTTTTCCATATAAAATTTTCAAGAACACTTCATTTATTAAGGTCTGTATATCTATATATTCTCATATTTATAAATGTCCATATTGTTTGAGAAAAGGAATGAAATACCTCTAAAATGTGGGCCTCTTATTTTTAGAAAAGTGTTTGAAATCTTTTATAAACTTCATATTTTGTTTGCTCCTTTATATTCTGTATTACTTAAATATGCTCAAAAAAGCAGTGGTAAACAGCTATTTAGGAATTGAGGCTGTTACTCCTGACTTCCATGTGAGACTGCCACAGAACTCATATTGAAAATATGTCATTTTATCCACTAGGTTTTGTTTCCTACTTTTTAAATTGGTGTTAAGAAAGGGAAAAAAATCACAAGTTTGTCTAACTCAGTAGAAAAATCGACAAAGCATTTGCAGACAACTTGGCAAGGGTACAGAGAAACGGATATACTGTTTTTCGGTATTTTGGGAGGGTGGTTTGAGCAGCATTTATTGACAATTTCATTAGTGGGGATGTTTCTTTTGAAAACAGAGTTAGGAAGTCATAAAATGTTCTTGCAATATAAGGTAATAATACCACTGGCGTTTATCTTACTGTTTTCATGTTCTAAGTGCATGCATCTGAGTAAAAGGATCTGGGCTGCAGTCCAGTCTGAGAGATGCCAGCAAAGGCTTCCTAGGCCAATTCAGTCCAGTAAATCCCTCTTCGATCTTCTCTTCCACACAGACAGCAGTGATGAGCATGCCCATGAACTCACATGATTATTTTGGGGAAAATGAAAGAGTTGTATTCTTTTTGAGGTAGTAATTCCACTTTCAGGGGCAAATACATTTTGATTATTTTATCACCCTTCACTGAGTTGTTTTTGTTCTTTAATCACGGATGTATGTTTGAAGTAAGAAGTAAAGCATAAAGTATATGATTTTGTGTGTGTGTGTGTTTTTATCTTGCTATACCTGTAGGGAATGTTTAATTCTGCCTTGGAAGTGGCCAGATTTGAAGATGCTGTGATTCGAACTGTCAGTGGGATAAGGGGGCAGATCAAGAGAGCACTCTGAGCTCCAGAAGGAGCTTTCCAGGATAGCTTTGAGGATAAGCTGCGGATGAGCGGTGAGTGTCTTAAGTAGTGTTCAGGGCAGGGTGTTACCATTCATGCTTGACTTCTAGCCAGTGTGACGAGAGGCTGGAGTCAGGTCTCCAGAGAGTTGAGCAGCTCCAGCCTTAGATCTCCCAGTCTTATGCAGTGTGCCCATTTGCCTTGTGTCTGCAGTCCCCTGGCCACACCCAGTAACAGTTCTGTGATCTATGAGAATAGTTTCCTTAGCGAGCTTTCCCTTCAAATACTTTGCAGCCAGGTAGAGAAGTTTGGAGTGAAGATTTTGTTCTTTGTTTCTTCACAATATGGATATGAATCTTCTTTTGAAAACGTTAAAGTAAATTACCTCTTTTCAGATATTGTCTTCATGTGAACTTGGTATCCTGTTTCCATCCCAGCCTTCTATAACCCAGTAACATCTTTGTTGAAACCAGTGGGTGAGAAAGACACCTGGTCAGGAATGTGGACCACGGGCCAACTCAGGCTCACCCATGGTGTCAGACTAAAGACAAACAAGGACTCTCTGTATAAGGTACTGGTCGTGTGTGTGTTAGTGGAGATGAAGCCTGTGCTCTACAGACAGGGAGTCACACAGACACTTTTCTATAATTTCTTACATACTTTGAATGTTCAAGTATAAAGTCTAATGTTAAATTTGATTGAACAATTGTATATTTGTGGGATATTTTGGAATGGAACACCAAAAAATGGTAATAGTGGTTCTTTCTGGATTGAAGGAAAACTTTTCTTTTTTAAAATAAATTTTATTTTATATATTTGAGGTTGACAACATGATCTTAAAGGATACATATAGATAGTAAACTGGTTACTATAGTGAAGCAAATTAACATAGCTACCATCTCACATAGTTAGATTTTTGTTTGTGTGACAGGAACAGCTAAAATCTACTTATTTAACAAAAATCCCAAAGACAATATATTTTTATTAACTATTGCCCTCATGATGTACACTAGATCTCTAACTTGTTCATCCTACATGTCTGCTACTTTGTATTATTTTAATGTACATCTCCCCATTTCCTATTGGTCATTTCCTATTTGGCCCATTTTTCAACTGGGTTGTTTTTCTGCTCTTAAGTTGTAAGAGTTCTTTACTGATTTTTGGATATTAACACTTTATCAGATATGTGGTTTGCAAATATTTCTTCCAGTCTGTAGGTTCCCCTTTCATTTTGTTGGTTGTTCCTTTGCTGTGCAGAAGCTTTTTAGTTTGATGCAGTCCTCCTTGTTTATGTTTACATTTGTAGCCTGGCTTGTGGTGCGATATCCAAAAAATTATTGCTAAGGCCAATGTCAAGAGGCTTTCCCCCTATGTTTTCTTCTAGGAGTTTTATGGTTTCAGGTCTTATTTGGGTCTTTGGTCTTGTATCTGTTTTGAGTTGATTTTTGTGTATGGTGTATGATCAGGGTCCAATTTTATTCTTTTGCATGTGAAAATCCTATTATTGAAGATACTATCTTTTTTACCATTGTGTTGTCTTGTTTGCCCTTGTCAAAAATTAGTTGACAGTATATGTTTGGATTTATTTCAAAGGTCTCTGTTATGTTCCATTGGTCTATTTTTTTGTTTTTATGCCAGCACCATACTGTTTTGATTACTATAGCTTTGTAATACAATTTTAAATCAAGAGGTGTGATGCCTCCAAATTTTTCTTTCACAGTTTTCTGTTGGCTGTTTGGGGTTTTTTGTGGTTCCATATGAGTTTCAGGATTGTTTTTTCTTTTCTTTTCTTTTTTTTTTTTTTTTTTTTTTTTTTTGAGGGGAAGTCTCACTCTGTCACCCAAGCTGGAGTGCAGTGGCATAATCTCGGCTCACTAAAACCTCTGCCTCCTGGATTCAAGCAATTCTTCTGCCTCAGCCTCCCAGGTAGCTGGGACTACAGGCACATGCCACTATGCCCGGCCAATTTTTGTAGTTTTAGTAGAGACAGGGTTTCACTATGTTGGCCGGGCTGGTCTCCAACTCCTGACCTCATGATCCACCCGCTGCAGTCTCCCAAAGTGCTGGAATTACAGGCGTGAGCCACTGTGCCTGGCCAGGATTGTTTTATTCTGTTCTGTGAAGAATGTCATCAGAACTTTGATGAGGATTGTGTTAAATCTGTATATTTGCTTTGGGTAGTGTGAACATTTTAACAATATTAATTCTTCTGATCCATAAACATAGGATGTCTTTTCATTTGTTCATGTCTAAATTTCTTTCATCAATGTTTTATGGTTTTTAAGTGTACACATCTCTCACCTTCTTGGTTAAATTTATTCCTAAGTTTTTGTTTTTCTTTGATGCTATCGTAAATGAGATTATTTTCTTGATTGCTTCATCAGCTAGGTTATTTGTATACAGAAATGCAACTGATTTTTATATGTTGAGTTTATACCTTGCAGCTTAACTGAATTGATTTAGTAGCTCTCACAGTTTTTTGTGGACTCTTTGGAGTTTTTTACGTAAAGGATCTTGTCATCTGCAAATAGAGATAATTTTACTTCTTTAATTTAGTTGCCTTTTTTTTCTCATCTGATTGCTCTTGCAAGTACTCTGTTGAATAAAAGTGATGAGGCTGGCCATCCCTATCTTGTACTCAATCTTAGTGGAAAAGCTTTAGTTGTTCCCCACTAACTATGATTAGACTGTGGGTTTTTCATAAATGGTGTTTATTATGTTGAGGAACTTTCCTTCTATACATAAACTATTAAGAGGTTTTATCAAGAAATGTTGCTAAACTTTGTTAAATGCTTTTACTGCATCAATTGAGTTGACCATGTCATTTTATCTTTCATTTTGTTAATGTGATGTATCACATTGATTGATTTACATATTTTAAACCAGCCTTGCATGCCAGGGATAAATCCCACTTAAACACGATGTATAATGTTTTTGATGTGTTGTTGAATTCTATTTGCTAAAATTTTTTTAGGATGTTTGCATCAGTATTTAATTTATTGGAGAAGTTGACCTGTAGTTTTTGTTCGGTGTGTGCGTGTGTGTGTGTGTGTGTGTGTGTGTGTGTGTGTGTGTGTTTTGGTTTGGCTTAGGTATTAAGGTGATACTGGCCTGGTAAAATGTGTTTGGAATTATTTCCTCTCACTCTGTTTTTGCGAAGAGTTTAAGAAGTAAACTCCCAGGGGATGGGAGTGACTCTGGACATGGGAGTGACATGATAGTGACTCTGGACCCTGCAGTGGTGGGACACAGCAGCATCTCAGTCTCTGAAAGGCCAGGCACAGCATCAGCAAGGACCCCAGAATGGTGGAGCACTACTGAGCCCTCGGGGGCAGGGACCAGTACAGCAACTACTTCTCTCCCTGGGGAGGCAGGTGCCTGGGCAACTCAGATTCTCCAGGGCTAGTCCAGTTCCAAGGAAGCAGGGTTCTACAGTTGTTTGTCCTGAAGGGCAAGGTACCCCAGTTCAGCCAATGCCGTTTTCCTGGGATATGGGGGTGCCATGTTGGCTCATCCCTGGCAGGTGTGGCTGCTCAGCTCAGCCAAGACACTGATTCCCTGTGAAGCAGGGCAGTGCTTCAGCTCTCATGCAGTGGGGGGTGTGACTGCTTAGACTGGCCAAGACACTGATTCCCTGGAAAGCAGGGCACCAAGTCAGCTCAGGCTCCAAGGGGCAGGGCGCAATGGCAGCTGGGAGGGGAGGGGCACAGCAGCGTGGCCCCGCAGGTGGGGTGTGTGCTGTGATGTGGACATCATTTGTTCCCACCAGCCATTTGAAATTTCATCCATTTGAAATTTGATTTCAAATGTGGTGGTGTGGGAGGTGGGGCCTAGTGGGAGTTATTTGAGTCACAGGGCAGATCCTTTATGAATAGATTAATGCCTTTTCATGGGACTGGATTAGTTACCAGGAGTGGATTGTTATCAGAGTGAGTTCAGCTTCCTAGACTCTTGTGTTTCCTCTCTTGCCATGTGAGCCCCTTGCATACACCTGTTTCGCCTTCCACTTTCCCCATGAGATGAAGCAGCACAAGACCCTCACCAGTTGTGCTGCCCGATCTCGGACTTTTCAGACACAAGCAGGGTGAGCCAAATAAACCTTTTTTATAAAATAAGTTACCCCGAGTCTCAAGTATTCTGTTACAGCCACACTAAATGGCCTAAGACAGTGTAACAGCGGCTCAGGGGTGGTGGGCCACTAGGTGGGTGTGATATAGAGCAACAAAGCCTGAGGATGGAAGAAGGGTGCGGTGGCTGCTCACCCTGGGTGGGACATGCTCCCGAAGTGGTCCAGGTCCAGGAGGGCACGTTGCAGCAGCAGCTGGTCCATGGGGGTGGGGCACAATGTCAGTTCCTTCTCTGAGGGGAGTGCTGGGGCTACTGGGCCCCTCTTGCTTCCTTATTCCTGCAGGGAGACATCCCCTCTGCTTCAGGCTGATCCCTCTGGGGGAATGGGTGGTGGGGGCCAGATGTTTCCTTCCCTCCTTTATGTGACCGTCCTGTTTTCCGGGCTCTACTGGATTTCTGCTACTCCTTGATGCACTCTGGGGCTCTCCTTTAGTGACTTTCATCAAAATATAGCTGTTTGCTGCTTTGGCTGTCTTTGTCAGGGGATGAGTGCAAGGGGCTATTGATCAGCCCTTAGCTGGCATCACTCCCTCTTAAACTTTTCACTGGATACTCTTTTGAACTGTTTTTTTCCCCCACCATATACATGTATTTTTTAAACGTTAATGTGCTAATTTCTACTGAAGCAATGTGGATTTTTCTGAAAGCTTTAATGTTTTAATAAGCTTTTTATTGAAATGTTAATGTACATACAGAAGAGTGCCCGAATCATAAGTGTGCATCTAGATGAACTGTAGCACACCAGGCTGCCACGCCCTGGACCAAGCAGTAGCCTTGACCTGTGGCCTCTCCCAGGCACTGCTGCCCCAACCCACAAAATAGCTACTTTCCCAGTTCCTGATGTAGATTTGTTCTGCCTGGTTTTGACTTCTATAAAATACAGCACATTCTATTTAGCCTGGCTTCTTTGGTTCAGTATTACAGAACACATCCATGTTCTTGTCTATGGCAGACATTGATTTATCGTCATTGTTGAGTTCCATTATATGACTGTGTCACCATTTTTCCATTGATGAGTAAAATGATTTCCTATTTTTGGCTGTTATCCCACAGCCCTGAACAGTAGGTCTGCATATGGGACTTGCAGGTATGCAGGGGCACACCCACTTCTGCTGGAGGATCCCTGGGTGGGGTGGAGACTCCAGGGCACCTGTGCTCTGCTTCAGTGTGGAGGCTTCTGTGTTGTGTTCTGGGAGCACAGTGGCTTGGCCTCCGCCACCAGCAGCAGCTTGAAGAGTTCCTGCTGTTCCACATGCTTGCCAACAATTGGCCTCTTCAGTTTTTTTTTTTTTTTTTAGGTTTTCAGTGCCTGCCTGGACTTGTGTTTTCATTTAGATTTTGGTTTCTTAGAACTTTCGTTATTCTCTTCACAGCTTAACAATGCATTTGAAAAGATTTGTTTTCATGTGGAGTATTCAGTTTTGTAATAGGAGGGTTGTTCAAGGCATCAGTCTGCCACTCTGCTAGAAACAGAATTCTCCCAGGCATTTCTTTTTATATAAAGTAGTTAATGAAATTTTGAACCATCTTACATGAATTTTTATTAAAATACACTTCAGGATGTGGTGCCCATTATCCATTCTACTCTTTTGTAACGAGTAGATTTCTCTGAATTCTTGAATTTGAAAACAATTGGGGTTCCTAAACAGAGAATATGGAATATTATTGGGGATGATGTCTTTAATAATACATCTCAAGATAGGAGAAACTTTTTCTATATAGTTGACTTTAATAAAAGCCTAGGGCAAAACTTTCAATATATTAACAGTATTTATGAGGCAGTTAAGAATTTGGGTCATCTCTGTCTCCACTAAAAATACAAAAAGTTAGCCAGGTGTGGTGGCGGGTGCCTGTAGTCCCTGCTACTTGGGAGGCTGAGGCAGGAGAATGGTGTGAACCCGGGAGGTGGAGGTTGCAGTGAGCCGAGATCATGCCACTGCACTTTAGCCTGGGCAACAGAGCGAGACTGCGTATCAAAAAAAAAAAAAAAAAGAATTTGGGTCATCTCAATTAAACATAGAATTTAAGATTACATTGAAAATTCAGTACAGAGTATTTTGCCTTCATCTGTTGTTTGAGTCTCCCTTCTTTCAGCCATCCTTCCATCAGAAATAGAATACCAAGTTAAACTTCTTAATTAGAATCAGGAATCAGGACTCTTTGGCTGCTGATTGAAGGAAGAACTGTCCTTAAATCCAGAGTGGGCCGGGCATGGTGGCTCATGCCTGTAATCCTAGCACTTTGGGAGGCCAAGGCAGATGGATCACCTGAGGTCAGGAGTTCAAGAGCAGCATGACCAACATGGTGAAACCCCATCTCTACTGAAAATACAAAAATTAGCCGGGCATGGTGGTGTGTGCCTATAGTCCCAGATACTTCGGAGGCTGAGATAAGAGAATTGCTTGAACCTGGGAGGTGGAGGTTATGTGAGCCAAGATCACGCCACTGCACTCTAGCCTGGGCGACAGGGCGAGACTCCATCTCAAAAAAAAAAAAAAAAAAAAAAAAATCCAGAGTGGTTGGTAGTCAAGACAAAAAGCTAGATTATTTTTGTTAGTCTGGGAACTAAAAAAAATAGTTGTAACTTTGAAGCCTTTTTATGGATCAACATGAAGATTGAGGGATCTCAAACAGAAAGGGCATCCTGGTGGCAAAGGTTAATCATTACCAGACTGCAAGAGTAGTTTCAATGGCAAGAAAGCAGCAACAGAATCAATGAAAACAAAGCAATGATTAGAATGCCCTTTCCCCTTCTCCTCCTGACTTGTAGACACTGATTGTCTTCCTTGGACTTAGGGAACCCCTTAGGTTCTTGAAAAATTCAATGATCAGGCTATAGTAGATGGTCCCCAGTACACAGCACAAGATTTTTTGATAAACTGGACATTTTGAAACCCAAATAACTAATTAGAAAAATCAAACATGTGAAACTACTTTATCCCATGCATAGGGGTTATACTGGAAATAAAATGTACAACATTGGAATCCTGAAGGAGAAAAGTCCTAAAAGTTTCAATATCAAGAATCCTGCACCTGCTGCTACTTATCTAGCCTTTTGCTTGATTTCTGGCTGATGAACTTGCACAACTCTTGAAAACTTAAAAACTTGAAAATTTGTCACTTGAAAACTACTTGAACCAAACTATGAAATCTCACCTGATATATGAGATGCAATTGTTACAATTATTTTAAACTTCAATTTACTGTTTTGCTCTATCAAAAGAAAGTTTCAACTCTGTTAGTTGAGTACACACATCCTAAACAAGTTTCTGAGAATGCTTCTGTCTAGTTTTTATGGGAAGATATTTCCTTTTTCACCTTAGGCCTCAATGCGCTCCAAATGTGCACTTCCAGATACTACAAAAAGAGTGTTTCAAACCTGCTCTATGAAAGGGAATGTTCAACTCTGTGACTTGAATGCAAACATCACAGAGATGTTTCTGAGAATGCTTCTGTCTAGATTTTATATGAAGATATTCCCGTTTCCAACGAAATCCTCAAAGCTATCCAAATATCCACTTGCAGATTCTACAAAAAGAGTGTTTCAAAACTGCTCTATCAAAAGAAAGGTTCAACTCTGTCAGTTGAGTACACACATCACAAACAAGTTTCTGAGAATGCTTCTGTCTAGTTTTTATGGGAAGATATTTCCTTTTTCACCATAGGCCACAAAGCGCTCCAAATGTCCAGTTGCAGATACTACAAAAAGAGTGTTTCAAACCTGCTCTATGAAAGCGAATGTTCAACTTTGTGACTTGAATGCAAACATCACAAAGATGTTTCTGATAATGCTTCTGTCTAGATTTTATCTGAAGATATTCCCGTTTCTAACGAAAACCTCAAAGCTATCCAAATATCCACTTGCAGATTCTACAAAAAGAGTGTTTCAAAACTGCTGTATCAAAGGAAAGGTTCAACTCTGTGAGTTCAGTACACACATCACAAGGAAGATTCTGAGAATTCTTCTGTCTAGTTTTTATGGGAAGATATTTCCTTTTTCACAATAGTCCTCAACGCCCTCCGAGTTTCCATTTGCAGATTCGACAAAAAGAGTGTCTTAAAACTGCTCTGTGAAAAGGAATATTCAACTCACTGAGTTGATTGCAAGCACCAAAAAGAAGTTTCTGAGAATGCTTCTGTCTAGTTTTTATGTGAAGATATTCCCGTTTCCAATGAAAGCTGCCAAGCTATCCAAATATCCACTTGTAGATACTACAAAAAGACTGTTTCAAACTGGTGTATCAAAAGAAATGTTAAACTCTGTGAGTTGAGTACACACATCACAAAGAGGTTTCTGAGAATGCTTCTGTCTTGTTTTTATGTGAAGATATTCCTGTTTCCAACAAAATCCTCAAAGCTATCCATATATCCACTTGCAGATTCTACAAAAAGTGTGTTTCAAAACTGCTCTATCAAAAGAAAAGTTCAACTCTGTGAGTTGAGTACACACATCACAAAGAAGTTTCTGAGAATTCTTCTGTCTAGTTTTTATGGAAGATATTTCCTTTCTCACCATAGGCCTCAAAGCGCTCCAAGTTTCCACTTCCATATACTACAAAAATTGTGTTTCCAAACTGCTCTATGAAAAGGAATGTTCAACTCAGTGAGTTGAATGCAAGCATCACAAAGAAGTTTCTGAGAATGCTTCTCTCTAGTTTCTATGTGAAGTTATTCCCGTTTCCAATGAAATACTCAAAGCTGTCCTAATATCCACTTGTAAAGTCTACAAAAACAGTTTTTCAAAACTGCCTTATCAAAGGAAAGGTTTAACTCTGTAAGTTGAGTAAACACGTCACAAAGTAGTTTCTGAGAATCCTTCCGTCCACTTTTTAGGTGAAGATATTTCGTTTTTCACCATAGGTCTCAAATCGCTCCAAATGTCCACTTGCAGATTTCACAAAAAGAGAGTTTCAAAACTGCTCTATGAAAGGGAATGTTCAACTCTGTGAGTGGAATGCAAAGATAACAAAGAAGTTTCTGAGAATGCTTCTGTCTAGTTTTTACATGAAGATATTCCCCCTTTACAACGAAAGCCTCAAAGCTATCTAAATATCCACTTGCAGATTCTAAAAAGGAGTGTTTCAAACGTGCTGTATCAAAAGAAAGGTTAAACTCTGTGAGTTGAGTACACACATGACAAAGAAGTTTCTGAGAATGCTTCTGTCTCGTTTTTATGTGAGGATATTTCGTTTTTTACCATAGGCCTCAAAGCGCTCCAAATGTCCACTACCAGATACAAAAAAAAGAGTGTTTCAGAACTTCTGTATGAAAAGGAATGTTCAACTCTGAGAGTTGAATGCAAACATCACAAAGTGGTTTCTGAGAATGCTTCTGTCTGGTTTTTATGTGAAGATAATCCCGTTTCGAATGAAATCCTCAAAGATATCCAAATATGCACTTGCAGATTTTACAAAAAGTGTGTTTCAAAACAGCTCTATCAAAAGAAAAGTTCAACTCTGTTAATTGAGTACACACATCACAAAGAAGTTTCTGAGAGTTCTTCTGTCTAGTTTTTATGGGAAGATATTTTGTTTTTCACCATAGGCCTCAAAGCGCTTCAAGTTTCCACTTACAGATTCTACAAAAAAAGTGTTTCAAAACTACTCTATGAAAAGGAATGTTCCACTCAGTGAGTTGATTGCAAGCACCACAAGGAAGTTTCTGAGAATGCTTCTGTGTAGTTTTTATGTGAAGGGATACCCGTTTCCAACGAAGGCCTCAAAGCTGTCCAAACATCCACTTGCAAATACTACAACAAAAGTGGTTCCAATCTGCTCTATCAAAAGAAAGATTCAACTCTGTGACTTGAATGCACACATCACAAAGAAGTTTCTGAGAATGCTTCTGTATAGTTTTTAATTGAAGATATTCCCGTTTCCAACGAAATCCTCAAAGCTATCCAAATATCCACTTGCAGATTCTACAAAAAGAGTGTTTCAAACCTGCTCTATCAAAAGAAAAATTCAACTCTGTGAGTTGAATGCACACATCACTAAGAGGTTTCAGAGAATGCTTCTGTCTAGTCTTTATGTGAAGGTATTCCCGTTTCCAGCGAAGGCCTCAGAGCGGTCCAAATATCCCCTTACGAAGTCTACTAAAAGAGTGTTTCAAAACTGCTCTATGATAAGGTATGTTCAAATCTGTGGGTTGAATGCAAACATCACAAAGAAGTTTCTGAGAATGCTTCTGTCTAGTTTTTATTTGAAGTTATTTCCTTTTCCACCATTGGCCTCAAAGTGCTGCAAATGTCCACTTGCAGATTCTACAAAAAAGTATTTCAAACCTGCTCTATCAAAAGAAAGGTTCAACTCTCTGAGTTGAATGCACACATCACAAAGAAGTTTCTGAGAATTCTTCTTTCTGGTTTTTATCTAAAAATATTTCCATTTCCACCGTAGGCCTAAGAGCGATCCAAATGTCCACTTGCAGATTATACAAAAACAGTGTCTCAAAACTGCTCTATCGAAAAGAAGGTTCAACTCTGTGAATTGAATGCACACATCACAAAGAAGTTTCTGAGAATGCTTCTGTCTAGTGTTTATGTGAAGGTATTCCTGTTTCCACCGAAGACCTCAAAGCACTCCAAATATCCACTTGCAGATTCTACAAAAAGTGTGTTTCAAAACTGTTCTGTCAAGAGCAATGGTGAACTCCATGAGTTGAATGCACAAATCACAAAGAAGTTTCTGAGAATGCTTCTGTCTAGTTTTTGTGTGATGATATTTCCTTTTCCAACATAGGCCTCAGAGCAGTCCAAGTATCCACTTGCAGATTCTACAAAAAGAGTGCTGCAAAACTGCTCTGACTAAAGGAATGTTCAACTCTTTGAGTTGAATGCACACATCACAAAGTAGTTTCTGTGAATGCTTCTATCTAGTTTCTGTATGAACATATTTCCTTTTCTACCATAGGTCTCAAAGCACTCCAAATATCCACCTGCAGATTCTACAAAAAGAGTGTTTCAAAACTGCTCTACCAAAAGGAAGTTTCAACTCTCTGAGTTTAATGCAGACAGCACAAAGAAGTTTATCTGACTACTTCTGTGTTGTTTTTATTTAAAGATATTTCCTTTTCCAACACAGAGCGCAAAGGGCTCCAAATATCCACTTGCAGTTTCTTCAAAAGAGAGATTCTAAACTGCCCAATCAAAAGATAGGTTCATCTTTGTGAGTTGAATGCATACATCACAAAGAAGTTTCTCTGAATGGTTCTGTGTAGTTTTATTTAAAGATAATTCCTTTTCCACCATAGGGCACAAATGGCTCCAAATATCCACTTGTAGATTCTACAAAACCAGAGATTCAAAACTGCTCATTGAGAAGATAAGTTCGACTCAGTGATTTGAATGTACACATCACGAAGAAGTTTCTTAGAATGCTTCTGTGCAGTTTTTATTGAAGATATTTCCTTTTCCACCATAGGGCGCATTGGGCTCCAAATATCCTCTTGCAGATGCTAGAAAAAGAGAAACTCTAAACTGCTCAATCAACAGATAGGTTCAACTCTGTGAGTTGAATGCCCACATCACAAAGAAGTTTCTCAGAATGCTTCTGAGTAGTTTTTATGTGAAGATGTTTCCTTTTCCACAATAAGCAGCAAAGTTCTCCAAATATCCACTTGAAGATTCTACAAAAACGGTGTTTCAAAACTGCTCAATGAAAAGAAAGTTTCAACCCTGTGAGATGAATGCACACATCACAAAGAAGTTTCTCAGAATCCTTCTGTGTTGTTTTTATGTGAAGATATTTCCTTACCACTGTGGGCCTCAGTGGGCTCCAAATATCCACTTCCATATTCTACAAAAAGAGTGTTTCAAAACTGCTCAATCATGAGATAAATTCATCCCTGTGAGATGAATTCACACGTCATGAAGTAGTTTCACAGAATGCTTCTGTGTAATTTTTATGTGAGGATATTTGCTTTTCCACAGTAGTCCTCAAAGGGCTCCAAATATCCACCTGCAGATTCTGCAAAAAGAGAGATTCAAAACTGCTGAATCAAAAGATATTTTCAACTCTGTGAGTTGAATGCACACATCGCAAATAAGTTTGTCTGAATGCTTCTTTGTAGTTTTTATTTCAAGATATTTCCTTTTGCACCATAGGGCTCAAAGGGCTCCAAATATCCACTTGCAGATTCTACAAAAAAAGAGATTCAAAACTGCTCAATGAGAAGATAAGATCAACTCTGTGAGTTGAATGCACACCTCACAAAGAAGTTTCTCAGAATACTTCTCTGTAGTTTTTATGTGAAGATATTTCCTTTTCCACAATAGTCCTCAAAGCTCTCCAAACATCCACTAACAGATTCTGCAAAAAGAGAGATTCAAAACTGCTCAATCAAAAGATAGGTTCAACTCTGTGAGTTGAATGCACACATCACAAAGAAGTTTCTCAGAATGCTTCTGTTTAGTTTTTATGTGAACATATTTGATTTTCCACAGTAGGCCTCACAACGCTCCAAATATCCACTTGCAGATTGTGCAAAAAGAGAGATTCAAAACTGTTCAATCAAAAGATAGGTTCAACTCTGTGAGTTGAATGCATACATCATGAAGAAGTTTCTGAGAATGCTTCTGTATAGTTTTTATTTGAAGTTATTTCCTTTTCCACAGTAGGCCTCGAAGGTCTCCAAATATCCACCTGCAGATTCTGCATAAAGAGAGTTTCAAAACTGCTCAAACAAAACATAAGTTCACCTCTGTGAGTTGAATGCACGCATCACAAAGCAGTTTCTCTGAATGCTTCTATGTAGTTTTTATTTGAAGATATTTCCTTTTCCACCATAGGACGCAAAGGGCTCCTAATATCCACTTGCAGATTCTACAAAAAGAGAGATTCAAAACTGCTCAATCAAAAGATAGGTTCAACTCTGTGAGTTGAATGCACACATCACAAAGCAGTTTCTCTGAGTGATTCTGTGTAGTTTTTATGTGAACATATTTGATTTTCCACAGCAGGCCTCAAAATGCTCCAAATATCCACTTGCAGATTCAGCAAAAAGAGGTATTCAAAACTGCTCAATCAAAAGATAGGTTCAACTTTGTGAGTGGAATGCATACATCAGAAAGAAGTTTCTCTGAATGGTTCTGTGTAGTTCTATTTGAAGATAATTCCTTTTCCACGATAGGGCACAAAGGGCTCTAAATATCTACTTGCAGAATCTACAAAACCAGAGATTCAAAACTGCTCATTGAGAAGATAAGTTCAACTCAATGAGTTGACTGTACACATCATGAAGAAGTTTCTTAGAATGCTTCTGTGTAGTTTTTATTGAAGATATTTTCTTTTCCACCATAGGGTGCAAAGGGCTCCAAATATCCACTTGCAGATTATAGAAAAAGAGAGACTCTAAACTGCTCAATCAAAAGATAGGTTCAACTCTGTGAGTTGAATGCCCACATCACAAAGAAGTTTCTCAGAATGCTTCTGAGTAGTTTTTATGTGAAGATGTTTCCTTTTCCACAATAGGCGGCAAAGTTCTCCAAATATCCACTTGCAGATTGTACAAAAATGGTGTTTCAAAACTGCGCAATGAAAAGAAAGATTCAACTCAGTGAGATGAATGCACACATCACAAAGAAGTTTCTCAGAATCCTTCTGTGTTGTTTTTATGTGAAGATATTTCCTTTCCACTATAGGCCTCAATGGGCTCCAAATATCCACTTCCATATTCTACAAAAAGAGTGTTTCAAAACTGCTCAATCATGAGATAGATTCAACCCTGTGAGATGAATGCACACGTCACGAAGTAGTTTCTCAGAATACTTCTGTGTAATTTTTATGTGAAGATATTTGCTTTTCCACAGTAGGCCTCAAAGGGCTCCAAATATCCACCTGCAGATTTTGCAAAAAGAGAGATTCAAAACTGCTCAATCAAAAGATACGTTCAACTCTGTGAGTTGAATGCATACATCACAAAGAAGTTTGTCTGAATGCTTCTTTGTAGTTTTTATTTCAAGATATTTCCTTTTGCACCACAGGGCTCAAAGGGCTCCAAATATCCACTTGCAGATTCTACAAAAGGAGAGATTCAAAACTGCTCAATGAGAAGATAAGATCAACTCTGTGAGTTGAATGCATACCTCACAAAGAAGTTTCTCAGAATGCTTCTCTGTAGTTTTTATGTGAAGATATTTCCTTTTCCACAATAGGCCTCCAAGCTCTCCAAACATCCACATACAGGTTCTGCAAAAAGAGAGATTCAAAACTGCTCAATCAAAAGATAGGTTCAACTCTGTGACTTGAATGCACACATCGCAAAGAAGCTTCTCAGAATCTTTCTGTGTAGTTTTTATGTGAACATATTTGATTTTCCACAGTAAGCCTCAAAAGGCTCCAGATATCCACCTGCAGATTCTGCAAAAAGAGGGATTCAAAACTGCTCAATCAAAAGATAGGATCAACTCTGTGAGTTGAATGTGTACATCACAAAGAAGTTTCTCTGAATGATTCTGTGTAGTTTTATTTGCAGATATTTCCTTTTCCACAATAGGGTGAAAGGGCTCCAAACATCCACTTCCAGATTCTACAAAACAGAGATTGAAAACTACTCAATGAGAAGATAAGTTCAACTCAGTCAGTTGAATGCACACATCACGAAGAAGTTTCTTAGAATTCTTCTGTGTAGTTTTTATTGAAGATATTTCCTTTTCAACCATAGGGTGCAAAGGGCTCCAAATATCCACTTGCAGATTCTACAAAAAGAGTGTTTCAAAACTGCTCAATCAAAAGAAAGGTTCAACTCTGTGAGTTGAATGCCCATATCAGAAAGAAGTTTCTCAGAGTGCTTCTGAGTAGATTTTATGTGAAGATATTTCCTTTTCCACAATAGGCCTCAAAGTTCTCCAAATATCCACTTGCAGATTCTACAAAAAGAGTGTTTCAAAACTGCTCAATCAAAAGAAAGGTTCAACTCTGTGAGATGAATGCACACATCACAAAGAAGTTTCTCAGAATGCTTCTGTGTAGTTTTTATGTGAAGCTATTTCCTTTTCCACCATAGGCCTCAAAGCTCTCCCAACATCCACTTGCAGATTCTGCAAAAAGAGAGATTCAAAAGTGCTAATTGAAAGACAGGTTGAACTCTGTGAGTTGAATGCACACAGCACAAAGAAGTTTCTCAGAATGCTTCTCTGTAGTTTTTATGTGAACATATTTGATTTTCCACAATAGGCCTCACAGCGCTCCAAATATCCACTTGCAGATTCTACAAAAAGAGAGATTCAAAACTGTTCAATCAAAAGATAGGTTCAACTCTGTGAGTTGAACGCATACATCATTAAGAAGTTTCTGGGAATGCTTCTTTGTAGTTTTTATTTGAAGATATTTCCTTTTCCACCATAGGCTGCAGAGGGCTCCAAATATCCACTTGCAGATTCAACAGAAAGAGTGTTTCAAAACTGCTCAATCAAAAGAAAGTTTCAACTCTGTGAGATGAATGCACACATCACAAAGAAGTTTCTCAGAATGCTTCTGTGTAGTTCTTATTTGAAGATATTTGGTTTTCCACTGTAGGCCTCAAAGCGCTCCAAATATCCACTTGAAGATCCTACAAAAAGAGTGTTTCAAAACTGCTCAATCATAAGCTAGGTTCAACCCTGTGAGATGAATGCACACATCACAAAGCAGTTTCTCTGAGTGATTCTGTGTAGTTTTTATTTGAAGATATTTCCTTTTCCACCATAGGGCGCAAAGGGCTCCAAATATCCACTTGGAGATTCTACCAAAAGATAAATTCAAAACTGCTCAATGAGAAGATAAGTTCAACTCTGTGAGTTGAATGCACACCTCACAAAGTAGTTTCTCACAATGCTTCTGCATAGTTTTTATGTGAAGATATTTGCTTTTCCACTGTAGGCCTCAAAGGGCTCAAAATATCCACCTTCAGATTGTGCAAACAGAGAGATTCAAAACTGCTCAATCAAAAGATAGGTTCAACTCTGTGAGTTGAATGCACATATCACGAAGAAGTTTCTCTGAATGCTTCTGTGTAGTTTTTATTTCAAGATATTTCCTTTTCCACCATAGGGCACAAAGGTCGTCAAATATCCACTTGCAGATTCTACAAAAAGTGAGATTGAAAACTCCTCAAAGAAAAGATAATTTCAACTCTGTGAGTTGAATGCACACCTCATAAAGTAGTTTCTCAGAATGCTTCTGTGTAGTTTTTATGTGAAGATATTTCCTTTTCCACAATAGGCCTCAAAGCTTTCCAAACATACACTTGTAGTTTCTGCAAAAAGAGAGATTCAAAACTGCTCAATCAAAATGTAGTTTCAACTCTGTGAGTTGAATGCAAACATGACAATGGTGTTTCTCAGAATGCTTCTGAGTAGTTTTTATGTGAAGAAATTTCCTTTTCCACAATAGGCCTCAAAGGGCTCCAAATATCCACTTGCAGATTCCACGAAGAGAGTGTTTCAAAACTGCTCAATCAAAAGAAAGTTTCAACTCTGTGAGATGAATGAACACATCACAAAGGAGTTTCTCAGATTGCTTCCTTCTAGATTTTATGTGAAGATATTTCCTTTTCTATCATAGGCCACAAAGCGCTCCAAATGTCCACTTGCTGATTCTACAAAAAGGGTGTTTCCAAACTACACAATCAAAAGAAAGGTTCAACTCTGTTAGATGAACGTACACATCATAAAAAAGATTCTCAGAATTCTTCTTTTTTTGTGTGAAGATATTTCCTTTTCCAACTTAAGCCTCAAGGTGCTTGAAATGTCCCCTTGCAGATTCTCCAAAAAGAGTATTTGAAAACTGGTTCTCCTAAAGAAAGTTGGAACTCCAGGAGATGAGTGCAGACATCACAGAGAACTTTCTCAGAATGCTTCTATCTACTTTTTATGTGAAGATATTTCCTTCTCCACCACAGGCCTCGAAGCGCTGCCAAATGTCCACTTGCAGATTCTACAAAAAGAGAGTTTCCAATCTGCTCAATCAAAAGAAAGGTTTAACTCTGTGAGATTAATGCACGCATCACAAAAGTTTCTCAGATTGCTTCTGTCTAGATTTTATGTGAAGATATTTCCTTTTCTACCATTGGCCGCAAAGAGTTCCAAATGTCCACTTGCAGATTCTACAAAAAGAGTGTTTCCAAACTACTCAATCAAAAGAAACGTTCAACTCTGTGAGATGAACACACTCATCACAAAGAAGTTTCTCAGAATTCTTCTGTCTAATTTTTACGTGAAGATATTTCCTGTTCCACCATAGGCCTCAAGACGCTCTAAATGTTCACTTGCAGATTCTACAAAAAGAGAGTTTCAAAACTGCTCAATCAAAAGAAAGGGTTATCTCTGTGAGATGAATGCATATATCACAAACAAGTTTCTCATATTGCTTCTGTCTAGATTATATGTGAAGATATTTACTTTTCTACCATAGACTGCAAAGCGCTCCAAATGTCCACTTGCAGACTCTACAAGAAAGAGTGGTACCAAACTGCTCAATCGAAAGAACGGTTACACTCTGTGAGAAGAACGCACACATCACAAAGAAGTTTGTCAGAATTCTTCTTTCTAGTTTTTATGTGAAGATATTTCCTTTTCCACCATAGGCCTCAAGCGTTCCAAATGTCCACTTGCAGATTCTACAAAAAGAGAGTTTCAAAACTGCTGAATCAAAAGAAAGTTTAAACTCTGTGAGATGAATGCACCCATCACTAAGAAGTTTCTCCGATTTCTTCTCTCTAGATTTTATGTGAAGGTATTACTTTTTCTACCATAGGTCGCAAAGTGCTTCAAATGTCCATTTGCAGATTCTACAAAAAAGAGTGTTTCCAAACTGCTCAATCAAAACAAAGGTTCAAGTCTGTGAGATGAACGCACACATTCCCAAGAAGTTTGTCACAATTCTTCTGTCTAGTTTTTATGTGAAGATATTACCTTTTCCACCATAGGCCTCAAAGCTCTCCAAATGTCCACTTGCAGATTCTACAAAAAGAGAGTTTCAAAACCGCTCAATCCAAAGAAAGGTTTAACTCTGTGAGATGAATGCACACATCACAAAGAAGTTTCTCAGATTGTTTCTTTCTAGATTTTATGTGAAGATATTTCTGTTTCAACCACAGGCCGCAAAGCGTTGCAAATGTCCACTTGCAGATTCTACAAAAAGAGTGTTTCCAAACTGCTCAATCAAAAGAAAATTTCAGCTTTGTGAGATGAACACACACATCACAAAGAAGATTATCAGAATTCTTCCATCTAGTTTTTATGTGAAGATATTTCCTTTTCCACCATAGGCCTCTAAGTGCTCCAAATGTCCACTTTGAGATTCTACAAAAAGAGTGTTTCCAAACTGCTCAATCAAAAGAAAGGTTTAACTCTATGAGATGAATGCACACATCACAAAGAAGTTTCTCAGATGGCTTCTGTCTAGATTTTATGTGAAGATATTTCCTTTTCTACCATACGCCACAAAGTTCTCCAAATGTCCACTTGCATATTCTACAGAAAGAGTGTCTCCGAACTGTTCAATCAAAAGATAGGTTCAAATCTGTGAGATGAATGCACACGTCCCAAAGAAGTTTCTCAGAATTCTTCTGTCTAGTTTTTATGTGCAGATATTTCCTTTTCCACTGTTGGCCTCAAAGAGTTCCAAATATCCATTTGCGGATTCTACAAAAAGAGAGCTTCAAGACTGCTCAATCAAAAGAAAAGTTTAACTCCATGAGATGAATGCACACATCACAAAGAAGTTTCTCAGATTTCTTCTGTCTAGACTTTATGTGAAGATATTTCCTTTTCTACTACAGGCCGCAAAGCACTCCAAATGTGCACTTGCAGATTCTACAAAAGAGTGTTTCCAACCTGCTGTATCAAAAGAAAGTTTCAACTATGGGAGATGAAAGCTCGCATCACAAAGAAGTTTTTCAAAATTCTTCTGTCTAGTTTTTATGTGAAGAGATTTCCTTTTCTACCACAGGCCTAAAAGGGCTCCAAATGTCCACTTGCAGATACTACAAAAAGAGAGTTTCAAAACTGCTCAATAAAAAGAAAGGTTTAACTCTGTGAGATGAATGCACACATCACAAAGAAGTTTGTCAGATTGCTTCTGTCTAGATTTTATGTGAAGATATTTCCTTTTCTACCATAGGCCGCAAAGCGCTAAAATTGTCCACTTGTAGATTCTACAAAAAGAGTGTTTCCAAACAGCCCAATGAAAGGAAACTTTCAACTCTGTGTGATGAACGCACGCATCACAAAGTGATTTCACAGTATTCTTCTGTCTAGTTTTTATGTGAAGATATTTCCTTTTCCACCACAGTTCTCAAAGAGCTTCAAATGTCCACTTGCAGATTGTTCAAAAAGTGTGGTTCCAAACTGCTCGATCAAAAAAAGTTTAACTCTGTGAGATGAACGCACACATCACAAAATAGTTTCTCAGAATTCTTCTGTCTAGTTTTTTGCGAAGGTATTTCCTTTTCCACCATAGGCCACAAAATGCTCCATATGTCCCCTTGCAAATTCCTCAAAAAGTGAGTTTCAAAACTGCTCAATCAAAAGAAAGGTTTAACTCTGAGACGAATGCACACTTCACAAAGAAGCTTCACAGATTGCTTCTGTCTATATTTTATGTGAAGATATTTCCTTTCCTACCATAGGCCGCAAAGCACTCCAAATGTCCACTTGCAGACCCTTCAAAAAGAGTGTTTCCAAACTGCTCAAATAAAAGAAAGATTCAACTCTGTGAGAATAAAGCACAAAAAACAAAGAAGTTTCTCAAAATTCTTCTGTCTAGTTTTTATGTGAAGATATTTCATTTTCCACCATAGACCTTAATGCGCTCGAAATGTCCACTTGCAGATTCCACGAAAAGAGTATTTCAAAACTAGTCCATCAAAAGAAAGGTTCAGACTTGGGAGATGAATGCACACATCACAAAGAAGTTTCACAGAATGCTTCTATCTATTTTTTATGTGAAGATATTTCCTATTCCACCATAGGCCTCAAAGCGCACCACATGTCCACTTGCAGATATTACAAAAAGAGAGTTTCAAAACTGCTGAATCAAAAGAAAGGTTAAACTCTATGAGATCAATGCACGCATCAGAAAGGAGTTTCTCAGATTACTTCTGTCTAGATTTTATATGGAGATATTTCCTTTTCAACCATAGGCTGCAAAACACACCAAATGTTCACTTGCAGATTCTGCAAAAAGAGTGTTTCCAGACTGCTCAATCGTAAGGAAAGTTCAAATGAGATGAAAACACACTTCAAAAAGAAGTTTCTCAGAATTCTTCAGTCTAGATTTTATATGAAGATATTTCCATTTCCACCATAGGCTTCAAAGCGCTCCAAAAGTCCACTTGCAGATTTTACAAAAAGAGAGTTTCAAAACTACTCCATGAAAAGAAAAGTTCAACTCTCTGAAATTAATGCACATATCACAATGAAGTTTCTCTGATTGCTTCTGTTAGATTTTATGTGAAGATATTTCCTTTTCCACCATAGGCCTCAAAGCACTCCAAATGTCCACTTGCAGATTCTACAAAAAGAGTGTTTCCAAACTGCTCAATCAAAGGAAAGGTTCAACTCTCTCAGATGAACGCATTCATCAAAAAGAAGTTTCTCAGAATTTTTCTGTCATTTTTTTATGTGAAGATATTTCCTTTTCCACCATAGGCCTGAAAGTGCTCCAAATGTCCACTTGCACATTCTATAAAAAGAGAGTTTCAAAACTGCTCTATCAAAAGAAAGGTTCTACTCTGTGAGATGAACACAAACATCACAAAGAAGTCTGTCAGAATTCTTCTGTCTAGTTTTTATGTGAAGATATTTCCTTTTCCACCGTACACCTCAAAGCACTCCAAATGTCCACTGGCAGATTCTACAAAAAGAGAGTCTCAAAACTGCTCAATCAAAAGAAAGGTTTAACTCTGTGAGATAAATGCATACATCAGAAAGAAGTTTCTCAGATTGCTTCTGTCTAGATTTTATGTGAAGGTATTTCCTTTTCTACCATAGGCCGAAAAGTGCTCCAAATGTCCACTTGCAGATTCTACAAAAAGAGTGTTTCCAAACTACTCAATCAAAATAAAGATTCAACTCAGTGAGATGAACACACACATCACAAGGAAGTTTGTCAGAATTCTTCTGTCTAGTTTTTATGTGAAGATATTTCCTTTTCTACCATAGACCTCAAAGCGCTCCAAATGTCCACTTGCAGATTCTACAAAAAGAGAGTTTCAAAACTGCTCAATCAAACTGAAGTTTTAACTCTCTGAGTTGAATGCACACATTACAAAGAAGTTTCTCAGATTGCTACTGTCTAGATTTTATATGAAGATATTTCGTTTTCGTCCATAGGCCAAAAAGCACTCCAAATGTCCACTTGCAGATTCTACAAAAAGACTCTTTCCAAGCTGCTCAATCAAAAGAAAGTTTGAACTCTGTGAGATGAACGCATACATCATAAAGAAGTTTGTCAGAATTCTCTCTAGTTTTTATGTGAAGATAAATTCCTTTTCCACCATAGGCCTCAAAGCACTCCAAAGGACAATTTGCAGATTCTACAAGAAGAGGGTTTCAACACTGCTCAATCAAAAGAAAGGCTCAATTCTGTGAGATGAATGCACACATCACAAAGAAGTTTGTCCAAATTCTTCTGTCTAGTTTTTATGTGAAGATATTTCCTTTTCCACCATAGGCCTGAAAGCACTCCAAATGTCCACTTGCAGATTCTACAAAAAGAGAGTTTCAATACTGCTCTATCAAAAGGAAGGTTTAACTCTGTGAGACGAATGCACACATCCCAAAGAAATTTCTCAGATTGCTTCTGTCTAGATTTAATGTGAAGATATTTCCTTTTCTACCATAGTCCGCAAAGCGCTCCAAATGTCCACTTGCACATTCTACAAAAAGAGGGATTCCAAACTGCTCAATCAAAAGGAAGGTTCAACTCTGTGAGATGAATGCACACATCACAAAGAAGTTTCTCAGATTGCTTCTGTCTAGGTTTTATGTGAAGATATTTCCTTTTCCACCATAGGCTTCAAAGTGCTCCAAGTGTCCACATGCAGATTCTACAAAAAGAGTGTTTCCAAACTGCTTAATCAAAAAAAAAGTTCAACTCTGTGGGATGAATGCACACATCACAAAGAAGTTTCTCAGAAATCTTCTGGCTAGTTTTTATATGACGATACTTCCTTTTCCACCATCGTCCTGAAACAGCTCCAAATATCTACTTGCAGATTCTAAAAAAAGAGAGTTTCAAAACTGCTCAATTGAAAGAATGGTTTAACTCAGTGAGATGCATGCACACATCACAAAGAAGTTTCTCAGATTGCTTCTGTCTAGATTTTATATGAAGATATTTCCTTTTCTAGCATAGGCCACAAATTCCTCCAAATATCCACTTGCAGTTTCCACAAAAAGAGGGTTTCCAAACTGCTCAATCAAAAGGAAGGTTCAACTCTGAGGTGAATGCACCCATCACAAAGATGTTTCTCAGAATTCTTCTGTGTAGCTTTTATGTGAAGATATATCCTTTTCCAACATTGGCCTCAAAGCACTCCAAATGTCCACTTGCAGATTCTACAAAAAGGTAGTTTAAAAACTGCTCAATCAAAAGAAAGGTTTAAATCTGTGAGACGAATGCGCTCATCACAAAGACGTTTCTCAGATTGCTTCTGTCTACATTTTATGTGAAGAAATTTCCTTTTCTACCATAGGACGCAAAGCACTCCAAATATCCACGTGCAGATTATACAAAAGGAGTGTTTCTGAACTGGTCAATCAAAAGAAAGTTTCAACTCTGTGATATGAACCCACACATCACAAAGAGGTTTCTCAGAATGCTTCTATCTAGTTTTTATGTGAAGATATTTCCTTTACCACCATAGGCCTCAAAGCGCTCCAAATGTCCACATGCAGATTCTAAAAAAAGAGAGTTTCAAAACTGCTCAATAAAGAGAAAGTTTTAACTCTGTTAGATGAATGCACACATCACAAACAAGTTTCTCAGATTTCTTCTGTCTAGATTTTATGTGAAGATATTTCCTTTTCTATCATAGGCCGCAAAGTGCTCCAAATATCCACTTACACATTCTACAAAAGAATGTTTCCAAACTGCTCAATCAAAAGAAAGCTTCAACTCTGTAACATGAAAGCACACATCACGAAGAAGTTTCTCAGAATTCTTCTGTCTAGTTTTTATGTGAAGGTATTTCTTTTTCCACCAGAGGCCGCAAAGCGCTCCAAATGTCCACTTGCAGATTCAATGAAAAGAGAGTTCCAAAACTGCTCAATCAATAAAATGTTTTACTCTGTGAGATGAATGCACACCTCACAAAGATATTTCTCAGAATTCTTCTGTCTAGTTTTTATGTGAAGATATTTCCTTTTCAAAGATAGGCCTTAAAGCTCTCCAAATGTCCAGTTGCAGATTCTACAAAAACAGTGTTTCCAAACTGCTCAATAAAAAGAAAGGTCCAACTCTGTGATATGAGTGCACACATCACAAAGAAGTTTCTCAGAATTCTTCTGTCTAGTTTTTATGTGAAGATATTTCCTTTTCCAGCATAGGCCTCAAAGTGCTCCGAATGTCTACTTGCAGATTCTACAAAAAGTTTCAAAACTGCTCAATCAAAAGAAATGTTTAACTCTATGAGATGAATGCAGACAACACAAAGAAGTTTCTCAGATTGCTTCTGTCTAGAATTTATGTGAAGATATTTCCTTGTCTACCATAGGCTTCACAGTACTCCAAATGGTCCCTTGCAGATTCTACAAAAAGAGTGTTTCCAAACTGCTCAATCAAAAGGAAGTTTCAACTCTGTGAGATGAACGCACACATCACAAAGAAGTTTCTCAGAATTCTTCTGTCTAGTTTTTATGGGAAGATATTTCCTTTTCCACCATAGGCCTAAAAGCGCTCCAAATTTTCACTTGCAGATTCTACAAAAAGAGAGTTTCAAAACTGCTCAATCAAAAAAAAGTTTTAACTCTGTGAGGTGAAAGCACACATCACAAAGAAGTTTCTCAGATTGCTTTTGTCTAGATTTTATGTGAAGATGTTTCTTTTACTACCATAGGCCTCAAAGCGCTCCAAATGTCCACTTGCAGGTTCTACAAAATAGAGTTTCAAGACAGCTCAATCAAAAGAAAAGTTTAACTCTGTGAAATGAATGTGCACATCACAAAATAGTTTCTCAGATTGCTTCTGTCTGAATTCTATGTGAAGATATTTCCTTTTCTACCATAGGCCACAAAGTGCTCCAAATGTCCACTTGCAGATTCTACAAAATAGAGTTTCAAGACAGCTCAATCAAAAGAAAAGTTTAACTCTGTGAAATGAATGTGCACATCACAAAGTAGTTTCTCAGATTGCTTCTGTCTGAATTCTATGTGAAGATATTTCCTTTTCTACCATAGGCCACAAAGTGCTCCAAATGTCCACTTGCAGATTCTACAAAATAGAGTTTCAAGACAGCTCAATCAAAAGAAAAGTTTAACTCTGTGAAATGAATGTGCACATCACAAAGCAGTTTCTCAGATTGCTTCTGTCTGAATTCTATGTGAAGATATTTCCTTTTCTACCATAGGCCACAAAGTGCTCCAAATGTCCACTTGCAGATTCTACAAAAAGAGTGTTTCCAAACAGCTCAATCAAAAGAAAGGTTCCACTCTGTGAGATGAACGCACACATCACAAAGAAGTTTCCCAGTATTCTTCAATCTGGTTTTGATGTGAAGATATTTTCTTTTCCACATTGTCCTCAAACCGCTCCAAATGTACACTTCCAGATTCTACAAAAACAGAGTTTAAAAAATGCTCCATCAAAAGAAATGTTTAAGTCTCTGAGAAGAATGCACACATCACAAATTATTTTCTCATATTGCTTCTGTCTAGATTTTATTTGCAGGTATTTCCTTTTCTACCACTGGCCACAAAGCGCTCCAAATCTGCACTTGCAGATTCTGCAAAAGGAGTGCTTCCAAAATGCTCAATCAAAATGAAGGTTCAACTCAGTGAGATTAATGCACACATCACAAAGAAGTTTCTCAGAATTCTTCTGTCTAGTATTTATGTGAAGATATTACCTTTTCCACCAGAGGCCTAACAGCGCTCCAAATGTCCACTTGCAGATTCTACAAAAAGAGAGTTTCAAAACTGCTCAACCCAACTAAAGTTTTCACTTGTGAAATGAATGCACACATCACAAAGTAGTTTCTCAGATTGGCTCTCTCTGAATTTTATGTGAAGATATTTATTTTTCTATCATAGGCCACAAAGTGCTCCAAATGTCCACTTGCAGACTCTACAAAAAGAGTGTTTCCAAACAGCTCAATCAAAAGAAAGTTTCAACTCTGTGAGATGAACGCACACATCAGAAAGAAGTTTGTCAGAATTCTTCTCTCTAGTTTTTATGTGAAGATAAATTCCTTTTCCACCGTAGGCTTCAAAGTGCTGCAAATGACCATTTGCAGATTCTACAAAAAGAGGGTTTCAACACTGCTCAATCAAAAGAAAGGCTCAATTCTGCGAGATGAACGCACATATCACAAAGAACTTTCTCAGAATTCTTCTGTCTTGTTTTTATGTGAAGATATTTCCTTTTAAACCATAGGCCTCAAGGCACTCGAAATGTCCACTTGAAGATTCTACAAACAGAGTATTTCAAAACTGGTCCTTCAAAAGAAAGATTCAACTCTGGGTGATTAATGCGCACATCACAAAATCTTCTCAGAATGCTTCTATGTAGTTTTTATGTGAAGATATTTCCTTTTCCACCATAGGCCTCAAAGCGCTCCAAATGTCCACTTGCAGATTCTACAAAAAGACAGTTTCAAAACTGCTCAATCTAAAGAAATGTTTATCTCTGTGAGATGAATGCACACATCACAAAGTTGTTTCTCAGATTACTTCTGTCTAGATTTTATGAGAACATATTTCCTAGTCTACCATAGGCCGCAACGTGCTCCAAATGTCCACTTGCAGAGTCTATAAAAAGAGGGTTTCCAAACTGCTCAATCAAAAGAAAGTTTCAACTCTGTGAGATGAACGTGCCCATCACAAAGTTTTTCAGAATTCTTCTGTCTACTTTTTATGGGAAGATATTTCCTTTTTCACCATAAGCCTCAAAGTGCTCGAAATGTCCACTTGCAGAGTCTACAAAAAGAGAGGTTCAAAACTGCTCAATCAAAAGAATGGCTTAACTCTGTGAGATGAATGCACATATCACAAAGAAGTTTCTCAGATTGCTTCTGTCTAGATATTATGTGAAGATAATTCCTTTTCTACCATAGGCCGCAAAGCGCTCCAAATGTCCACTTGCAGATTCTAAAAAAGAGAGTTTCCAAACTACTCAATCAACAGAAATGTTCAAATCTGTGAAATGAATGCACACATCACAAAGAAGTTTCTCAGAAATCTTCTGTCTATTTTTATGTGGAGATATTTTCTTTTCCACCGAAGGCCTCGAAGTGCTCCAATTGTCCACTTGCAGATTCTACAAAAAGAGAGTTTCAAAACCCCTCAATCAAAAGAAAGGTTTAACTCTGTGAGATGAAAGCACACATCACAAAGAAGTTTCTCAGATTGCTTCTGTGTAGGTTTTATGTGAAGATATTTCCTTTTCTACCATAGGCCGCATAGCGCTCCAAATGTCCACTTGCAGATTCTACAAAAAGAGAGTTTCCAAACTGCTCAATCAAAAGAAAGTTTCAACTCTGTGAGATGAACGCACACATCACCAAGAAGTTTCTCAGAATTCTTCTGTCTAGTTTTTATGGGAAGATATTTCTTTTTCCACCATAGGCCTAAAAGGGCTCCAAATGTCCACTTCCAGATTCTACAAAAAGAGAGTTTCAAAACTGCTCAATCATAAGAAATTTTAACTCTGTGAGATGAATGCACACATCACAAAGAAGTTTCTCAGATTGCTTTTGTCTAGATTTTATGTGAAGATATTTCCTTTTCTACCATAAGCCTCAAAGCGCTCCAAATGTCCACTTGCAGATTCTACAAAATAGAGTTTCAAGACAGCTCAATCAAAAGAAATGTTTAACTCTGTGAGATGAATGCACACATCACAAAGATGTTTCTCAGAATGCTTCTGTCTAGTTCTTAAATGAAGATGTTTCCTATTCCACCATAGGACTCAAAGGGCTCCCAATGTCCACTTGCAGATTCTACAAAAAGAGTGTTTAAACCTGCTCAATCAGAAGAAATGTTCAGTCCGGTGAGATGAATGCCCACAACACAAAGGATTTTCTATGAATGATTCTGTCTAGTTTTTATGTGCACATATTTCCTTTTAAACCATAGGCCTCAAAGCGCTTCAAATGTACACTTGCAGATTCCACAAAAAGAGTTTTTCAAAACTGCTCAATGAAAAGAAAGGTTCTAATCTGTGTGAAGAATGTACACATAACAAAGAAGTTTGTCAGAATATTTCTGTATAGTTTTTATATTAAGGTATTTACTTTTCCACCATAGGCCTCAAAGAGCTCCAAATGTCCACATGCAGATTCTACAAAAAGAGTGTTTCAAAGCTGCTCATTCAAAAGAAAGGTTCAACTCTGTGACATGAATGCGCAATCATGAAGAAGTTTGTCAGAATGCTTCTGTCTAGTTTTTATGTGAAGATATTTCCTTTTCCACCATGGGCCACAAAGCGCACCAAATGTCCAAATTCAGATTCTACAAATAGAGTCTTTCAAAACTACTCAATCAAAAGAAAGGTTCTACTCTGTGAGATGAATCCACACATCTCAGTGAAGTTTTTCAGAATGTTTCTGTATAGTTCTTGTGTGAAGATATTTCTTTTTCCACCATTGCCTCAAAGCGCCAAAAATGTCCACTTGTAGATACTACAGAAAGAGTGTTTCAGAGTTGCTCTTGTCCGATTGCTTCTGTCTAGATTGTATGTGAACATAGTTCCTTTTCTACCATAGGCCACTAAGTGCTCCAATTGTCCACCTGAAGATTCTTCAAAAAGTGTGTTTCCAAACTGCTCAATCAAAAGAAAGGTTCAACTCTGTAACATGAAGACACACATCTCAAAGAAGTTTCTCAGAATTCTTCTGTCTAGTTTTTATGTGAAGATATTACATTTTCCACCATTGCCTCAAAGCGCCAAAAATGTCCACTTGCAGATACTACAGAAAGAGTGTTTCAAAGTGGCTCAATCAAAAGAAAGTTTCAACTCTATGAGATGAATGCACACATCACATAGAAGTTTCTCAGAATGCTTCTGTCTAGTTATTATGTGAAGATATTTCGTTTTCCACCATAGGCATCAAAGCGCTCCAAATGTCCACTTACATATTCTACAAAAGGAGTGTTTCAAAACTGCTCAATCGAAATTAAGGTTCCACTCTGCGAGATGAATGCACACATCACAAAAACTTTGTCAGATTGCTTCTGGCTAGTTTTGTGTGAAGATATTTCCTTTTCCACCACAGGCCTCAAAGCTCTCCAAATGTCCACTTGCAGATTCTACAAAAGGAGTGTTTCAAAACTGCTCTATCGAAAGTTAAGTTCAACTCCATGAGATAAATGGCAACTCCATGAGATAAATGACAAATAAGCTTGTCAGAATGCTTCTGCCTAGTTTTAATGTGAAGATATTTCCTTCTCCACCATAGGCCGCAAAGTGCTCCAAATGTCCACTTGCAGATTCTACAAAATGAGAGTTCTCAAAACTGCTAAATTAAAATAAAGTTTCAGCTCTGTGAGAGGAATGCACACATCACAAAGCAGTTTCACAGAATGCTTCCATCTAGTTCTTAAATGAAGATATTTCCTTTTCCACCATAGGCCAAAAAGCGCTCCAAATGTCCACTTGCAGATATTACAAAAAGAGCTTTTCAAAACTGCTCAATGTCTGTTCATGTCCTTCACCCACTTTTTGATGGGGTTGTTTGTTCTTTTCTTGTAAATTTGTTTGAGTTCATTGTAGATTCTGGATATTAGCCCTTTGTCAGATGAGTAGCTTGTGAAACTTTTCTCCCATTTTGTTGGTTGCCTGTTCACTCTGATGATAGTTTCTTTTGCTGTGCAGAAGCCCTTTAGTTTAATTAGATCCTATTTGTCAATGTTGGCTTTTGTTGCCATTGCTTTTGGTGTTTTAGACATGAAGTCCTTGCCCATGCCTATGTTCTGAATGGTAATGACTCGGTTTTCTTCTAGGGTTTTTATGCTTTTAAGTCAAAAGTTTAAGTCTTTAATCCATCTTGAATTGATTTTTGTGTAAGGTGTAAGGAAGGGATCCAGTTTCAGCTTTGTACATATGGCTAGCCAGTTTTCCCAGAACCATTTATTAAATAGGGAATCCTTTCCCCATTTCTTGTTTTTCTCAGGTTTGTCAAAGATCAGATAGTTGTAGATATGTGGCGTTATTTCTGAGGGCTCTGTTCTGTTCCATTGATCTATATATCTGTTTTGGTACCAGTACCATGCTGTTTTGGTTACTGTAGCCTTGTAGTATAGTTTGAAGTCAGGTAGTGTGATGCCTCCAGCGTTGTTCTTTTGGCTTAGGATTGACTTGGCGATGCGGGCTCTTTTTTGGTTCCATATGAACTTTAAAATAGTTTTTTCCAATTGTGTGAAGAAAGTCATTGGTAGCTTGATGGGGATGGCATTGAATGTGTAAATTACCTTGGGCAGTATGGCCATTTTCACGATATTGATTCTTCCTACCCAAGAGCATGGAATGTTCTTCCATTTGTTTGTATCCTCTTTTATTTCCTTGAGCAGTGGTTTGTAGTTCTCCTTGAAGAGGTCCTTCACATCCCTTGTAAGTTGGATTCCTAGGTATTTTATTCTCTTTGAAGCAATTGTGAATGGGAGTTCACTCATGATTTGGCTCTCTGTTTGTCTGTTGTTGGTGTATAAGAATGCTTGTGATGTTTGTACATTGATTTTTAAGGACATGAACAGACATTTCTCAAAAGAAGACATTTATGCAGCCAAAAAACACATGAAAAAATGCTCACCATCACTGGCCATCAGATAAATGCAAATCAAAACCACAATGAGATACCATCTCACACCAGTTAGAATGGCAATCATTAAAAAGTCAGGAAACAACACGTGCTGGAGAGGATGTGGAGAAATAGGAACACTTTTACACTGTTGGTGGGACTGTAAACTAGTTCAACCACTGTGGAAGTCAGTGTGGCAATTCCTCAGGGATCTAGAACTAGAAATACCATTTGACCCAGCCATCCCATTACTGGGTATATACCCAAAGGACTATAAATCATGCCGCTATAAAGACACATGCACACGTATGTTTATTGCGGCATTATTCACAATAGCAAAGACTTGGAACCAACCCAAATGTCCAACAATGATAGACTGGATTAAGAAAATGTGGCACATATACACCATGGAATACTATGCAGCCATAAAAAATGATGAGTTCATGTCCTTTGTAGGGACATGGATGAAATTGGAAATCATCATTCTCAGCAAACTATCGCAAGAACAAAAAACCAAACACCGCATATTCTCACTCATAGGTGGGAATTGAACAATGAGAACACATGGACACAGGAAGGGGAACATCACACTCTGGGGACTGTTGTGGGGTGGGGGGAGGGGGGAGGGATAGCATTGGGAGATATTCCTAATGCTAGATGACGAGTTAGTGGGTGCAGTGCACCAGCATGGCACATGTATACATATGTAACTAACCTGCACATTGTGCTCATGTACCCTAAAACTTAAAGTATAATAATAATAAATAAATAAATAAAAACTGCTCAATGAAATAAAGGTTCAACTCTGTGACATGAATGCACACATCAGGAAGAAGTTTCTCAGAATATTTCTGAATCATTTTTATGTGAAGATATTTCCTTTTCCACCATTGGCCTCAAAGCGCTCCAAATCTGCACATGCAGATTCTAAAAAAAGAGTGTTTCAAAGCTGCTCAATCAAAAGAAAGGTTCAACACTCTGAGATGAATGCACACGTCACAAAGAAGTTTCTCAGAATGCTTCTGTCTAGTTTTTATGTGAAGATATTTCCTTTTCCACCATTGGCCTCAAAGCACTCCAAATGTCCTCTTGCATATTCTACAAAAAGAGTGTTTCAAAGCTGCTGAATCAAAAGAAATGTTCAACTCTGTGAGATGAATGCACCCATCACAAAGAAGTTTCTCAGAATGCTTCTGTCTAGTTTTTATTTGAAGATATTTCCTTTTACACCATAGGCCTCAAAACGCTCCAAATGTAAACATCCAGATCGTACAAAAAAAGTTTTTCCAAACTGCTCCATCAAAATAACGGTTTAACTCTGTGAGATGAATGCACACATCACAAAGAATTTTCTCTGAATGATTCTGTCTAGTTTTTACGTGAATATATTTCCTTTTCCACCATAGGACTCTAAGCGCTCCAAATGTCCAATTCTAGATGCTACAAAAAGAGTGTTTCAAAGCTGCTGAATCAAAAGAAAGGTTCAAATCTGTGAGATGAATGCATGCACACATCACAAAGAGTTTCTCAAAACACTTCTCTCTAGTTTTTATATGAAGATATTTCCTTTTCCTCCATAGGACTCTAAGTACTCCAAATGTCCAATTCTAGACACTACAAAAAGAGTGTTTAAAAATTGCTCAATCGAAAGTAAGTTTCAACCCTGTGAGATGAATGCACACATCACAAAGAGGTTTTTCAGAATGTTTCTGTCTAGTTTTTATGTGAAGATATTTCCTTTTCCACCATAGGCCTCAAAGCGCTCCAAATGTCCGCTTGCAGATTCTACGAAAAGAGTGTTTCAAAACTGCTCAATCAAAAGAAAGGTTCAACTCTGTGAGATGAATGCACACATCACAAAGAAGTTTCTGAGAATGCTTCTGTCTAGTTCTTAAGTGAAGATATTTCCTTTTCCACCATTGGTCCCAAAGCACTCCAAATGTCCACTTCCGGATTCCACAAAAAGAGAGTTTCCAAACTACTCAATCAAAGAAAGGTTCACCTCAGTGAGATGAATGCACACATCACAAAGAAATTTGCCAGAATTCTTCTGTCTAGTCTTTATATGAAGATATTTCCTTTTCCACCATAGGCCCCAAAGGGCTGCAAATGTCCACTTGCAGATCCTGCAGAAAGAGTGTTTCAAAACTGCTCAATCAAAAGAAAGGTTCAACTCTGTGAGATGAATGCACATTTCACAAAGAAGTTTCTCAGAATTCTTCTGTCAGGTTCTTAAGTGTAGATATTTCCTTTTCCACCACAGGACTCAAAGCTCTCCAAATGTCCCCTTGCAGATTCTACAAAAAGAGTTTCCAAACCACTCTATCAAAAGAAAATTTCAACGCTGTGAGATAAATGCACATATCACAAAGAAGATTCTCAGAATGCTTGGGTCTAGTTATTATGTGAAGATATTACCTTTTCAACAATAGGCCTCAAAATGCTCCAAATTTCCACATGCAGATTCTACAAAAAGAGTGTTTCAAAGCTGTTCAATCAAAAGAAAGCTTCAACTCTGTGAGATGAATGCTCACATCACAAAGAAATTTCTCAGAATGCTTCTGTCCAGTTTTTATGTGAAGATATTTCCTTTTCCAGCATAGGCGTCAAAACGCTCCAAATGTCCACTTACAGATCCCACAAAAATAGTGTTTCAAAACTGCTCAATCAAAAGAAAGGTTCACCTCTGTGAGATGAATGCACACATCACAAATAATATTCTCAGAATAATTCTGTCTAGTGTTTATGTGCAGATATTTCCTTTTCCACCATAGTCCTCAAAGCACTCCAAATGTCCAATTGCAAATCCTACAAAAAGAGTGTTTCAAAACTGCTCAATCGAAGGTAGGGTTCAACTCTGTGAGGTGAATTCTCACATCAAAAAAAGTCTGTCAGAATGCTTCTGTCTAGTTTTCATATGAAGATGTTTCCTTTTCCACCGTAGGCCTCAAAGCACTCCAAATGTCCACATGCGGGTTCTATAAAAAGAGTGTTTACAAACTGCTCAAGCAAAAGAAATGTTCAACTCTGTGATATGAAAGCACACATCACAAAGAAGTTTGTCAGAATGCTTCTGTCTAGTTTTCATGTATAGATGTTTCCTTTTCCACCATAGGCTGCAAAGCGCTCCAAATGTCTACTTGCAGATTCTACAAAAAGATTGTTTCAAAACTGCTCAATGAAAAGAAAGTTTCAACTCTGTGAGATGAACGCACACATCACAAAGAAGTTTCTCTGAATGCTTCTGTCTAGTTCTTAAATGAAGATATTTCCTATTCCACCACAGGACTCAAAGGGCTCCTAATGTCCACTTGCAGATTCTACAAAAAGAGTGTTTAAACCTGCTCAATCAAAAGAAATGTTCAACCCGGTGAGATGAATGCACACAACACAAAGGATTTTCTATGAATGATTCTGTCTAGTTTTTATGTGAACATATTTCCTTTTAAGCCATAGGCTTCAAAGCGCTTCAAATGTACAATTGCAGATTCCACAAAAAGAGTTTTTCAAAACTGCTCAATGGAAAGAAAGGTTGAAATCTGTGAGAAGAATGCACACATAACAAAGAAGTTTATCAGAATGTTTCTGTATAGTTTTTATGTGAAGGTATTTCGTTTTCCACCATAGGCCTCAAAGAGCTCCAAATGTCCACATGCAGATTCTACAAAAAGAGTGTTTCAAAGCCGCTCAATCAAAAGAAAGGTTCAACTCTGTGAGATGAATGCACAAATCACAAAGAAGTTTGTCAGAATGCTTCTGTCTAGTTTTTATGTGAAGATATTTCCTTTTCTACCATAGGCTGCAAAGCGCACCAAATGTCCAAATTCACATTCTACAAAAAGAGTCTTTCAAAACTGTTCAATCAAAAGAAAGGTTCAACTCTGTGAGATGAATCCACACATCTCAGTGAAGTTTTTCAGAATGTTTCTGTATAGTTTTTATGTGAAGCTATTTCCTTTTCCACCATTGCCTCAAAGCGCCAAAAATGTCCACTTGCAGATACTACAAAAAGAGTGTTTCAAAGTTGCTCAATCAAAAGAAAGTTGAAATTCTGTGAGATGATTGCATATATTACATATAAGTTTCTCAGAATGCTTCTGTCTAGTTTTGTGTGAAGATATTTCCTTTTCCACCACAGGCCTCAAAGCTCTCCAAATGTCCACTTGCAGATTCTATAAAAAGAGTGTTTCAAAACTGCTCAATCGAAAGTAAGGTTCAACTCTTTGAGATGAATGCACCCATCACAAATAAGCTTGTCAGAATGCTTTTGTCTAGTTTGTATGTGAAGATATTTCCTTTTCCACCGTCGGCTGCAAAGCACTCCAAATGTCCACTTGCAATTTCTAGAAAAAGAGTTTTTCAAAACTGCTCAATTAAAATAAAGTTTCAGCTCTGTGAGAGGAATGCACACATCACAAAGCAGTTTCACAGAATGCTTCCGTCTACTTCTTAAATGAAGATATTTCCTTTTCCACCATAGGCCCAAATGCGCTCCAAATGTCCACTTGCAGATTCTACAAAAAGAGAGTTTCTAAGCTACTCAATCAAAAGAAAGGTTCAACTCTGTGAGATGAATGCACACATCACAAAGAAGTTACTCAGAATGCTTCTGTCTACTTCTTAAGTGAAGATATTACCTTTTCCACCTTAGGCCCCAAAGCACTCCTAATGTGCTCTTGCAGATCCTACAAAAAGAGAATTTCCAAACTACTCAACCAAAAGAAAGGTTCAACTCTGTTAGATGAATGCACACATCACAAAGTAATTGGTCAGAATGCTTCTGTCTAGTTTTTATGTGAACATATTTCCTTTTCAACCATAGGCCTCAAATCGCTTCAAATGTACAATTGCACATTCCACAAAAAGAGTTTTTCAAAACTGCTCAATGAACAGAAAGGTTCAACTCTATGAGATGAATGCACACATCACTAAGAAGTTTGTAAGAATGTTTCTGTATAGTTTTTATATGAAGATATTTCCTTTTCCACTATAGGCCTCAAAGCGCTCCAAATGTCCACATGCAGATTCTACAAAAAGAGTGTTTCAAAGCTGCTCAATCAGAAGAAATGCTCAACGCTATGAGATGAATGCATACATCACAAAGAAGTTTCTCAGAATTCTTCTGTCTAGTTTTTATGTGAAGATATTTCCTTTTCCACTATAGGCCACAAAGTTCTCCAAATGTCCACTTGCAGATTCTACAAAAAGAGTGTTTCCAAACTGCTCAATCAAAAGAAAGGTTCTACTCTGTGAGATGAACTCACACACCACAAAGAAATTTCTGAGAATTCTTCCGTCTAGTTTTTATGTGAAGATGTTTCCTTTTCCACCATAGGCCTCAAAGAGCTCAAGATGTCCAGTTGCTGATTCTACAAAAAGAGAGTTTCAAAAGTGCTCCATCACAGGAAATGTTTAACTCTGTGAGATGTATGCACACATCAAAAAGAAGTTTCTCAGATTGCTTCTGTCTAGTTTTTATGTGAAGATATCTCCATTTCCACCATAGGCCTCAAAGCACTCCAAATGTCCACTTGCAGATAGTACAAAAAGGGAGTTTCAAAACGGCTCAATTAAAAGTAAGGTTCAACACTGTGAGGTGAATGCACATATCACAAAGAAGTTTATCAGAATGCTTCTGTCTAGTTTTTATGTGAAGATATTTCCTTCTCTGCCATTGGCCTCAATGCGCTCCAAATGTCCACTTGCAGATTCTACAAAAAGAGAGTTTCCAAACTAGAAAATCAAAAGAAAGTTTCAACTCTGTGAGATGAATGCACTCATCACAAAGAAGTTTCTCACAATACTTCTGCATAGTTGTTACATGAAGATATTTTGTTTTCCATTACACTCCTCAAAGCGCTCCAAATGTCCACTTGCAGATTCTACAAAAAAAGCATTTCAAAGCTGCTCAATCAAAAGAAAGGTTCAACTCTGTGAAAAGAATGCACACATCACAAAGAAGTTTCTCAGAATGTTTCTGTCTACTTCTTATGTGAAGATATTTCCTTTTCCACCATAGGCCTCAAAGTGATCCAAATGTCCACTTGCAGATCCTTCAAAAAGATTTCCAAACTAGTCAATCAAAAGAAAGTTTCAACTCTGTGAGATGAATGCACATATAACAAAGACATTTCTAAGAATCCTTCTGTCTAGTTTTTATGTAAAGATATATACTTTTACACCATAGGCATCAACGCACTCCAAATGTCCACTTGTACCTAGTACAAAAAGGATGTTTCAAACCTGCTCAATCAACAGTAAGGTTCAACTCTGTCAGATGAATGCACACATCACAAAGTATTTTCTCAGAATGATTCTTTGCACTTCTTAAGTGAAGATATTTCCTTTTCCACCAGAGGCCTCAGAGCCCTCCAAATGTCCACTTGCAGATACTGCAAAAAGAGTGTTTCCAAACTGTTCAATCAAAAGAAAGGTTCAAATCTTTGAGATGAATATACACATCATGAAGAAGTTTCTCAGAATGTTTCTGTCCATGTTTTATAAGCAGATATTTCCTTTTCCACCATAGACCTCAAAGCACACCAAGTGTCCACTTATAGATTCTACAAAAAGAGTGTTTCAAAACTGCTCATTGAAAAGAAATGTTCAACTATGTGAGATGAATGCACACACCACAAAGAAGTTTCTCAGAATGTTCTGTCTAGTTCTTAAGTGAAGATATTTCCTTTTACACCATAAGCCTCAAAGTGCTCCAAATGTCCACTTGCAGATTGTACAAAAACAGTGTTTCAAAACTGCTTAATGGAAAGAAAGGTTCAATTCTGTGAGATGAATGCAAACAACACAAAGAAGTTTGTCAGCATGCTTCTGTCTAGTTTTTATGTGAAGATATTTCCTTTACCACCATATGCCACAAAGTGCTCAAATGTCCCTTTGCAGATTCTACAAAAAGAGTGTTTCAAACTGCTCAATCAAAAGAAAGTTCAACTCTGTGAGATGCATGCACACATCCCAAAAAAATTTCCCAGAATAATTCTGTGTAGTTTTTCTGTGAAGATATTTCCTTTTCCACCGTAGGCCCCAAAGAATTCCAAATGTCCACTTGCAGATTCTACCAAAAGAGTGTTTCAAAATAGATTAATGAAAAGAAATGTTCAACTCTGTGACTTGAAAGCACGCATTCCAAAGAAGTTTGTGACAATGCTTCTGTCTAGTTTTTATGTGAAGATATTTCCTTTTCTGCCATAGGCCTCAAAGTGCTCCTAATGTCCACTTGCAGATTCTACAAAAGAGTGTTTCAAAGCTGCTCAATCAAAAGAAAGTTTCAACTCCGTGAGATGAATACACACATCACAAAGAAGTTTCTGAGAATGCTGCTGTCTTGTTGTTATGTGAAGATATTTCCTTTTCCATAATTGGCTGCAAAGCGCTCCAAATGTCCACTTGCAGATTCTACAAAAAGAGTGTTTCAAAACTGCTCAATCAAAAGAAAGGTTCAACTCTGTGAGATGAATGCACACATCACAAAGAAGTTTCTCAGAATGTTCTGTCTAGTTCTTAAGTGAAGATATTTCCTTTTCCACCATAGGCCTCAAAGCGCTCCAAATGTCCACTTGCAGATTGTACAAAAACAGTGTTTCAAAACTGCTCAATGGAAAGAAACGTTCAATTCTGTGAGATGAATGCAAACAACACAAAGAAGTTTGTCAGCATGCTTCTGTATAGTTTTTATGTGAAAATATTTCCTTTTCTACCATAGGCCTCAAGGCGCTCCAAAGGTCCACATGCAGATCCTACAAAAATAATGTTTCAAAGGTGCTCAATCAAAAGAAATGTTCAACTCTGTGAGATGACTGCACCCATCACGAAGAAGTTTCTCAGAATGCTTCTGTCTAGATCTTAAGTGAAGATATTTCCTTTTCCACCATAGGCCTCAAAGCGAACAAAATGTCCGCTTGCAGATTCTACAAAAAGAGTGTTTCCAAACTGCTCAACCAAAAGTAAGATTCAACTCTGTGGGTTGAATGAAAACATCACAAAGAAGTTTCTCAGGATGCTTCTGTCTAGTTCTTATGTGAGGATATTTCCTTTTCCACCGTAGGCCTAAAAGTGCTCCAAATATCAACTTGCAGATTCTACAAAAAGTGGGCTTCAAAACTTCTCAATCAAAAGTAAGGTTCAATTCCCTGAGATGAATGCACACATCACAAAGAAGTTTGTCAGAATTCTTCTGTCTAGTATTTAAGTGAAGATACTTCCTTTTCCACCATATGCCGCAAAGCGCTCCAAGTATCCACTTGCAGATTCTACAAAAAGAGTGTTTCAAAACTGCTCAATCAAAAGAAAGTTCAACTCTGTGAGATGAATGCCCACATCACAAAGAAATTTCTCAGAATATTTCTGTCTAGCTTCTCTATGAAGATATTTCCTTTTCCACCATAGGCCTCAAAGTGTTCCAAATGTCCACTTGCAGATTCTACAAAAAGAGTGTTTCAAAGCTGCTCAATCAAAAGAAATGTTCAACTCTGTGAGATTAATGCATACATCACAAACAACTTTCTCAGAATGCTTCTGTCTAGTTATTATGTGAAGATATTTCATTTTTCACCTTAGGCCTCAAATCACTCCAAATGTCCACTTGCAGATGTTACAGAAAGAGTGTTTGAAAACTACACAATCGAAGGAAAGGTTCAACTCTCTGAGATGAATGCACACATCACAAAGAATTTGTCAGAATGCTTCTGTCTAATATTTATGGGAAGATATTTCCTTTTCCACCATAGGCCTCAAAGCGCTCAAAATGTCCACTTGCAGATGCTACAAAAGGAGAGCTTCCAAACTATTCACTCAAAAGAAATGATCAACTCTGTGAGATGAATGCATACATTACAAAGTAATTTGTCAGAATGCTTCTGTCTAATTTTTATGTGAACATATTTCCTTTTCCACTGTAGGTCTCAAGCCACACAAAATGTCCATTTGCAGATAGTACCAAAAGGGTTTTTCAGAACTGCTTAATCAAAAGTAAGGTTCAACTCTGTGAGATGAATGCACATATCGCAAATAGGTTTGTCAGAATGCTTCCACCTAGTTTTTTTGTGAAGATATATCCTTTTCCACCTCAGGCCTCAAAGAGCTCCGCATGTCCCCTTACAGATTCTACAAAAAGAGTGTTTCAAAACTGCTCAATGAAAAGAAAGGTTCAACTCTGTGAGATGAATGCACACATCCCAAAGAAGTTTCTCAGAATGCTTCTGTGTAGTTTTTAGGTGAAGATATTTCCCTTTCCACCATAGGCCCCAAAGCGCTCCAAATATCCACTTGCAGATACTACAAAAAGTGTTTTTCAAAACTGCTGAATCCAAAGAAATGTTCAACTTTGTGAGATGAATGCACACATCAGAAAGAAGTTACACAGACTGCTTCTGTGTTGTTTTTAGGTGAAGATATTTCAGTTTCCACCATAGGTCTTGAAGCCCTCCAAATATCCACTTGCTCATTCCACAAAAAGTGTGCTTCAAATCTGCTCAATCAAAAGAAAGTTTCAATTCTGTGAGATGAATGCACACATCACAAAGTAGTTTCTCAGAATGCTTCTGTCCAGTTTTTATGTGAAGATATTTCCTTCTCCACCATAGACCTTAAGGCGTTCCAAATATCCACTTGCAGATTTTACACAAAGAGTGTTTCAAACTGCTCAATCAAAAGAAAGGTTCAACTCTGTGTGTTGAATGCACAAATCACAAAGAAGTTTCTCAGAATGCTTCTGTGTAGTTTTTATGTGAAGATATTTCCTTCTCCACCGTAGACCTTAAAGCACTCCAATTATCCACTTGCAGATCGTACAAAAAGAGTGTTTCAAATGGCTCAATCAAAAGAAAGGTTCAACTCTGTGAGCTGAATGCATAAATCACAAAGAAGTTCTCAGAATGCTTCCATCCAGTTTTTATGTGAAGATGTTTCCTTTTACCACCATTGGCCACAAAGCGCTCCAAATATCCACTTGCAGATTCTACAAAAAGTGTTTCAAAACTGCTCAATCAAAAGAAAGGTTCATCTCTGAGACATGAATGCACACATCACAAAGGAGTTTCTCAGAAGGCTTCTGTCTAGTTTTTATGTGAAGATATTTCCGTTTCCACTATAGGCCGCAAAGCGCTCCAAATATCCACTTGCAGATTCTACAAAAAGAGATTTTCCGAACTCCTCAATCAAAAGAAAGTTTAAACTCTGTGAGTTGAATGCACACATCACAAAGAAGTTTCTCAGAATGCTTCTGTCTAGTTTTTAATTGAAGATACTTCCTTTTCCACCATTGAGCTCAAAGCACTCCAAGTATCCACTTGCAGATTCTACAAAAAGAGTGTTTCAAAACTGCTCAATCAAAACAAAGTTTCAACTCTGTGAGATGAATGCACACATCACAGAGAAGTTTCTCAGAATGCTTCTGTCTAGTATTTATGTGAAGATATTTCCTCTTCTACAATAGGTCTCAAACCACTCCAAATATCCACTTGCAAATACTACAAAAAGATTGTTTCAAAACTGCTCAATCAAAAGAAATCTTCAACTATGTGAGTTGAATGCACACATCACAAAGAACTTTCTCAGAACGCTTCTGTGTAGTTTTTATTTGAAGATATTTCCTTTTCCACCACAGGCCCCAAACTGATCCAAATATCCACATGCAGATCCTTCAAAAGAAGTGTTTCAAAACTGTTCGATCAAAAGAAAGGTTCAATTCTGTGAGATGAATGCACACATCACAAAGAAGTTTCTCAGAAGGCATTTGTGTAGTTTTTATGTGAAGATGTTTCCTTTTCCTCCATAGGCCTCAAATCGCTCCCAATGTCCACTTGCAGATTCTACAAAAAGAGTGTTTCAAAGCTGCTCAATCAAAAGAAATGTTCAGCTCTGTGAGATGAATGCACACATCACAAAGAAGTTTCTCAGAATGCTTCTGTCTAGTTTTTAAGAGAAGATATTTCCCTTTCCTCTAGAGGTCCCAAAGTCCTCCAACTTTGCAGATACTACAAAAAGAGTGTTTCAAAACTGCTCAATCAAAAGAATATTTCAACTCTGTGAGTTGAATGCACACATCACAAAGAAGTTTCTCAGAATGTTTCTGTCTAGTTTTTATGTGAAGATATTTCCTTTTCCACCATAGGCCCCAAAGCACTCAAAATATCCACTTGCAGATTCTACAAAAACAGTGTTTCAGAACTGCTCAATCAAGAGAAACATTCAACTCTGTGAGATGAATGCATAGATCACAGAGGAGTTTCTCAGAATGCTTCTGTCTGGTTTTGATGTGAAGATATTTACTTTTCCACCATAGAATGTAAAGCGCTCCAAATATCCACTTGCAGACACTACAAAAAGAGTATTTCAAAAGTGCTAAATCAAAAGAAAAGTTCAACTCTGTGAGGTGAATGCACACATCACAAAGAAGTTTCTCAGAATGCTTCTTTCTTGTCTTTATGTGAAGATATTTCCTTTTCCATTCAGAACCTCGTAGCAGTGTTCTGTAATCCTGTGTGAGGGACAAACACTCAGAATCCAGCCACTGTGTACTGGAATCCTATCTGAGGGCACACATTTAAAATCCAGGTGTAGTCTCCTTGCTTTAGTGAATACACTTATCTCCTTTTCCTGCTATACATTTAGGCAAATTATTTTTCTGTATCTTAAATAAATGGTAAATACCTGAAATTTCTTACTTTTTCCAGGCACAGTGTCTTCACTATGTAGCTGTAGAAGTATAACTATTTTTGTCTGTGTCACAATTTTGTACTCAGGAACCCTGGCCATGTCACTAGCCAAATGGACATAACTTATGGAATACATGGACAGCATCCGGTTGATATGCTCTAGAGAAAAATAGCAGCTACCATAGACTTCAGGAAAGACACATCGAGCAAATGACAAAAATGTAGGTTTCCTACCTTCAGGGAGTCTAAGAATGCAGTAGAAAGTGATGTGGAGCAAACATCTTTCAAATGGAAGGAAGGGATAGGGAAAGGAAGACTGTTAGAGGCTCTTTTGAATGTTAGAGGCAACATAAAACATATTTGGATGTGTATTCTAAATAAAATGCAAATGTCAAGAAGGATGTCAGCTGTGAGTGGGACTCAGAGAAAGAGAAACGTTTTGGACTACAGAGGCCTGCAGTACAAGTGGATCTACAATTTTGTTTAGGGAATCCAATGCCTCAGGTATCTATGAGAGGCAGAATTTTCCTATGGAGCCAGCGGCAAGACTCCAGAGGAGAAATACAGTACAAGCCACTTTATTTTGGAGTAAAAGCCTTTTGTACAAAAATTACCCGCCCCCTCCTTTTTTGAGAAACAATTTCACATTGGGATACTAATAAGAAGGAATGCTCAGTCATGAATAAGGGTGACCCCGTTGTGATCTGAGCATTATAGGATCATAGTAACTACAACCAGTCTTCCATCATTCCATGGAAATTGCATGTATGCCACGTTGCCTTCTCAGTTTCCAAGGGACCAATTAATGAACAGGCTACTCACATTTTCAGCATCCTACTCCTGACACACTCCCACCCTTCTTTCTATTTATCTGTGATTCATAGAGATTTGCCTATGACTGGATTCCTGAGGAGAAAAAAGTCTGGATTACAGATGGCATTCCTTGTTATGGAAGGCCCTTCCTTCTGAAAGTCTATTTCTATCATGTTCTTTCCCTGTGCTGTCAAAGGGTCACCCCTTTGTACAAAGGAGAAGAGAAATCCATCAAGTAAATAAAATTTCATTTACCTTTGTAAAAAATATTTCTACCAATTCACGTGGAGGACCTTATGGTTTGGTCCGATAATCAGAGATTTGAAAGAACCTGATATTGTTGGCCAGCAGATTAGAAAAGAGTTATTAGAGAGAGATGGCTCAAGTGATAATAACTCTGTGCCTTGTGAATGCTCACCTAAACCAAAGATCACTGAAGATAATGTATTTTACCATAATGTTTTAATCTCAGGTAAATGCCAATTAGGAGACAAACACTTGTTTATCTCCTGATTGGTATTGATCTGAATTAAGCTGTCTGCCATTTGGAGAAATTTAAATGCTATTTTAAACACACAGTCTTGTTACTTGAGTTATTTATGATCTTAAGCGGCTCCCCCCCTTTTGTGGGTTAGATTGTGTCTTCAAAAAGAAAATATATATATTAGAGTTCTAGCCCCTGATGTCTGTGAGTATGACTTAATTTGAAATCAAATTATTTGCAGATGCTGTATAATTATGATATGCTAGATGAGCTCATAATGCATTAGAGTGGGCCATAATTCAATATGGTTGATATCCTCATAAGAAGGGAAGAGGAAACAGAGACGCAGGGAGGAGATGGCAATGTGAGGATGGAGGTAGAGAATAAAGTGAGGTATCCTCCAGCCAAGCAATGACAATGAAGCTCAGTGATCACCCGGTGCTAGAAGAAGCAAGAAAGGATTTTTTTCCAGGTCATTCAGAGAAAAATGCAGCACTGCTAACTCCTTCATTTAAGATTTCTAGCTTTCTGAACCGTAAAAGAATAACTTTATCTCATTTTAAGCGACCTAATGTGAACCACTTTGTCACAGCAGATATAGGAAATTACACCTCCTTAAAGAATGCAGAATCCTGGCCCGTGCTTGCCTCATACCTATTGAATGAGAATCTAAGGGCTCTAGAATCTGCATTTTGAAACTAATACATAATACACAAAGAGAACTCACTAAGTACTCTACATGCACTTCATCCTCACAAGCCATGAAGTAGTTTACTATTATAATTCTCATTTTACATATGGGAAACTGGAGCATGAAAAGATTAAGTAATTTGCCTACAGTCACTCACATAACCAGAAAGTGGAAGAGCTGGGATTCAATCCCAGTTCCAGACATCCTGATATCCTGGGTTCAGACACCACACACTTAGCAACTATTACACACTTAGCATTATTATTATTATTATTATTATTATTATTATTATTATTTTAATCACCATCTCCACCTTCTTAAGCACTCAAAAGTTGAAATCCAGTGGTGTGTTGCTGTTTCCATTCATAGCAAGTTATAGCCAAAATCATAAATTACACTTCCTCCAAAACAGTATACTGACTTCTCATCTCTTTTTAAAATCCCTTCCGTCGTTCTTTTCTTTCTTCTCTTCTCTTTTCTTTTCTCTTTTCTTTCTCTTGCTCTGTCACCCAGGCTGGAGTGCAGTGGCATCATCTCGGCTCACTGCGACCTCCACCTCCTGGGTTCAAGCGATTCTCCTGTCTCAGCCTCCCAAGTAGCTAGGATTACAGGTGCCCAACACCATGCCCGTTTAATTTTTGTATTTTTAGTAGAGATGGGGTTTCACATCTTGGCCAGGCTGGTCTTGAACTGCTGACGTCGTGATCCATCCACCTCGGCCTCCCAAAGTGCTGGGATTACAGGCATGAGCCACTGTGCCCAGCCTCTTTCACCCATTGAAATCTCATTTCAACAATTACCATCTTTTTTGAGTGGTATTTTTGAAGTTATAAATGAATTCCCTATAATACATAGTGAGAATATTTATGGGAGCTTCCTAATTGACTTTCTAAACATTCTGCATTGCTTCTCATTTCCTTCTTTAAATTTCCTTCTACCTTGACTTCCTTAAGACCACTCAATGTTGGCCCCATGCTTTCATTTTTTTCTTTTTTCTTTTTTTTTTTTTTTGAGATGAAGTTTCCCTCTTTTCACCCAGGCTGGAGTGCAACAGTGTGATCTCAGCTCACTGCAACCTCCGCCTCCCAGTTTCAAGAGACTCTCCTGCCTCAGCCTCCCGAGTAGCTGCGATTACAAGCATGTGCCACCATGCCCAGCTAATTTTGTATTTTTACTAGAGATGGGGTTTCTTCATGTTGGTCAGGCTGGTCTCAAACTCCCAACCTCAGGTGATCCGCCCGCCTCGGCCTCCCAAAGTGCCGGGATTATAGGCATGAGCCACAATGCCCAGCCCATGCTTTCTTTTTAATAACTCCTTGCTGCCTAGTTTTTTCATGTCCACTGTGTAACTACTAGTCTTAATGGGTATTTCTTTTCTTACTATTCTGCACCAATGTTTCCCTGATTGACAACAGTTTTCCTGAAATGTATTCTTGGAATGGAATTGTATGATACGCTTAGAAAATTCTGCATACCTTATACTTCAGAATGTGTATGTAAAAGACTCCAGTAAATGATCCAGGGAAGCAAAAATATTTGTGTGTTTTGCGAGTTGTATTCATATGTGTATAAAATTCCCACAGCACTTTGGGTAACAATGCTCTGCACACTTTTCCTGTGCTCCTTTTATCCATTCCCACACTTCCAGCATTTCCTTTGACGTTTGATTTTCTTTATTTTTTTTTACTCCAATATTTTCCTGTAGGTTTCAAACCTGTATTTTAAAATATCAACTGATTCTCTCCCTCTGTCTTCACCACCTGCATCTCAAATTTGACATAGCCATAAACACATTTTATATTTTGGCAAATAAATCTATTTCTTTTAAAGCATTGCCCATCTCAGCTAATGATGATAATATCAAGCCAGTCGCCAAGAAAATTTAGAGTATTTATACCTTGACTCTTCCTTCTAAATGAATTATTAAGTTCAGCTGTTTCTACCTTGAATTACCTTTCTATTCTGCCATTTCTCTTCTGTGTTGCTGCTAATGTTTTAATTTAGTTATTCATCACATCATGCCTGTACTGCTGGAATAATCTTGACTATTCTTTCTGACTTTTTCTTCTAACTGCATCTCAAAAACTTCTATCTAGAATGAAAATAAGTATATATATATATACTATATATACATATATACATATACACTATATGTATGTATATAGTATAAGTATAGACATGCTATATACTATATATACTATATATTTATATACACACACACCCACTATGCTTTTAAAAATTGTTTACTTATGTCCCATCATTGAAGGGTAAAATACAAAATCACTGATATTGAGAGACATTCTCCTCAATCATTTAACATTTTCCTTCACAAACCTGTGCTGTAGCCACACCCAGAACAGGTTATGTTCCTTCAAAGACACACACACTTTTCTATCACTCTCCTTTTACTCCTTCTATTCCATCTGCTTAGACCATTTTTTACTTGTTTTCTGTCTATCTCCATTCATTTTTCAGGATCCAATTAAAATATTGATACAAAGGCTGAGATCTTTATATCTTCTCTTATTTAAATTCCTGGAGCACCAGATAACTTCCTCTATTATAATTCTTACTGTATACAACCATAACTCTCATTTGAAAACAATGAATACATAATTATAAAATCAGATATATCATAAAATGATTGGTATCAATATGTGAAAAAAAATCTTTAATGTTGAAAGTACAAGATTACAAGCCATCTGAAAGTAACTGAACATCAATCAGAGAAAAATGCTCATCATTTTTTGATGAAACCAAAAGAAAGAGAATTTGATATTAATCTACTACATCATTGGTAAATTACATATTAATTATTGTGAGAAAGAAATAATTGACGGAATTTAAAGAAAATCGGTTTTCCTTTATTTTTATTATTCTACCTAAAAGTATTATATCTAATTAAAATCATGATTTTAAAATTATCCCATCAAGTATGTCATCACACTAAAATCCATTGTATTTAATTTCTCAACTGAGAAATTGTATTCAATTGTATTCATTTTCCCTACTGAAAAATTAATATAAAAGCAATCACATAGCATTCAGAAATTAATAAATATTTAAAGAAATTAAACAGCATTAGATTTTCTTGTTGTAAAATTTTTTTCTTCTCTCAGTATGGCTTATGTCTCTGCTTCTATTGAACATAGCACAATTCAAGTATTAATACAGCACCTTTATAAAAGTTGTGAATCTCAGAAATGAACAAGCTTACCTCCTTAGTTATTTATTAAAAGTTACAAGTCACTTTTTTTTAACTTCCTAATAATCTTAGAGGGGTATATTTTGTGTTTTTGTTTGCTATATCTTTCATAAAGAAGATCCCTAATGATTTGAAAGTTAGAACCAATTTTCTGAAGGATTGAGCCACGCTCCTTGAAGTTGTGTGTTTGTGGGTGGCACACTATGTCTTTTGCAGACCCGGAACCTACCCCTTGGTCTAGAACATATTTTCCTCCACCTGCCTTTTAAGTTTTTATTTCAGCAGGAGTGGGTGGTTTGTGGTTGACCGAAAATAGAACGGGCTACAAAAGCCCTTCCTGTTTGATATTGAATCTGCTATTTGAGTCACCCTTACATTATGAACTGACTGTTAATTAACACATTTGGTAAGAGAATATCCTGATCTGCTTTGCATGTGAGGCTCTCCCAGTAATAAACAAAGAAGCATAATCAAACAAGATTTTAATTTCTCTATGCCCTGTTAGAAATTCAGATATAATTCAAGTCATCTTGGAAATTTTAAGTTGCATTCTGATGTCGTCTCTGTTCTGGCCATTGTGCAATGGGCCTTCAAATGTTGTAGTAGAGGCCAACTGATATTCCATTGTTATTCATTTATACACAGGTACATATATGGTGTGTGTACGCAAATATATAAATATTCATATATGTGTACATGTGTACATACATACATATGGAGGTAATACAAGTTTGCATTGTTTTTAAAATTATTTTACCCAAATTAACAATGACTCTATTGCATATCTTTATTGGTTATATCACATTTATATAAATAAATTTATATCAGTGACAATTTCCAAGTAAGTGAAATTTGAATTGGATTCAGGGTTTTATTTTTTTGAAATTTCTGATTAAAATTACTTGATTTTTTAAATTTTATCTTAAAATATTCAAGTCCCATTTGTAAAAAAAAAATAGAGGATTAAAATGAAGTGTGTCTTTATGAGTCACAAATTTTTATTTTACTTTACTAATTGTTAAAATAATATTTTTTCCATGAGGCATTTTATAATGCCCTCTTTATTTTTTTGGTGATGTATTTTTTTATTATTATTATTATACTTTAAGTTTTAGGGTACATGTGCACAATGTGCAGGTTAGTTACATATGTATACATGTGCCATGCTGGTGCACTGCACCCACTAACTCGTCATCTAGCATTAGGAATATCTCCCAATGCTATCCCTCCCCCCTCCCCCCACCCCACAACAGTCCCCAGAGTGTGATGTTCCCCTTCCTGTGTCCATGTGTTCTCATTGTTCAATTCCCACCTATGAGTGAGAATATGCGGTGTTTGGTTTTTTGTTCTTGCGATAGTTTGCTGAGAATGATGATTTCCAATTTCATCCATGTCCCTACAAAGGACATGAACTCATCATTTTTTATGGCTGCATAGTATTCCATGGTGTATATGTGCCACATTTTCTGAATCCAGTCTATCATTGTTGGACATTTGGGTTGGTTCCAAGTCTTTGCTATTGTGAATAATGCCACAATAAACATACGTATGCATGTGTCTTTATAGCGGCATGATTTATAGTCCTTTGGGCATATAGCCAGTAATGGGATGGCTGGGTCAAATGGTATTTCTAGTTCTAGATCCCTGAGGAATTGCCACACTGACTTCCACAGTGGTTGAACTAGTTTACAGTCCCACCAACAGTGTAAAAGTGTTCCTATTTCTCCACATCCTCTCCAGTACCTGTTGTTTCCTGACTTTTTAATGATTGCCATTCTAACTGGTGTGAGATGGTATCTCATTGTGGTTTTGATTTGCATTTATCTGATGGCCAGTGATGGTGAGCATTTTTTCATGTGTTTTTTGGCTGCATAAATGTCTTCTTTTGAGAAGTGTCTGTTCATGTCCTTCGCCCACTTTTTGATGGGGTTGTTTGTTTTTTTCTTGTCAATTTGTTTGAGTTCATTGTAGATTCTAGATATTAGTCCTTTGTCAGATGAGTAGGTTGTGAAAATTTTCTCCCATTTTGTAGGTTGCCTGTTCACTCTGATGGTAGTTTCTTTTGCTGTGCAGAAGCTCTTTAGTTTAATTAGATCCCATTTGTCAATTTTGGCTTTTGTTGCCATTGCTTTTGGTGTTTTAGACATGAAGTCCTTGCCCATGCCTATGTCCTGAATGGTAATGCCTAGGTTTTCTTCTAGGGTTTTTATGGTTTTAGGTTGAACTTTTAAGTCTTTAATCCATCTTGAATTGATTTTTGTATAAGGTGTAAGGAAGGGATCCAGTTTCAGCTTTCTACATATGGCTAGCCAGTTTTCCCAGCACCATTTATTAAATAGGGAATCCTTTCCCCATTGCTTGTTTTTCTCAGGTTTGTCAAAGATCAGATAGTTGTAGATATGTGGCGTTATTTCTGAGGGCTCTGTTCTGTTCCATTGATCTATATCTCTGTTTTGGTACCTGTACCATGCTGTTTTGGTTACTGTAGCCTTGTAGTATAGTTTGAAGTCAGGTAGTGTGATGCCTCCAGCGTTGTTGTTTTGGCTTAGGATTGACTTGGTGATGTGGGCTCTTTTTTGGTTCCATATGAACTTTAAAGTAGTTTTTTCCAATTCTGTGAAGAAAGTCATTGGTAGCTTGATGGGTATGGCATTGAATGTGTAAATTACCTTGGGCAGTATGGCCTTTTTCACGAGATTGATTCTTCCTACCCATGAGCATGGAATGTTCTTCCATTTGTTTGTATCCTCTTTTATTTCCTTGAGCAGTGGTTTGCAGTTCTGCTTGAAGAGGTCCTTCACATCCCTTGTAAGTTGGATTCCTAGGTATTTTATTCTCTTTGAAGCAATTGTGAATGGGAATTCACTCATGATTTGGCTCTCTGTTTGTTTGTTGTTGGTGTATAAGAATGCTTGTGATTTTTGTACATTGATTTTGTATCCTGAGACTTTGCTGAAGTTGCTCATCAGCTTAAGGAGATTTTGGGCTGAGACAATGGGATTTTCTAGATATACAATAATGTCTTCTGCAAACAGGGACAATTTGACTTCCTCTTTTCCTAATTGAATACCCTTTATTTCCTTCTCCTGCCTGATTGCCCTGGCCAGAACTTCCATTACTATGTTGAATAAGAGTGGTAAGAGAGGACATCCCTGTCTTGTGCCAGTTTTCAAAGGGAATGCTTCCAGTTTTTGCCCATTCAGTATGATATTGGCTGTGGGTTTGTCATAGATAGCTCTTATTATTTTGAAATATGTCCCATCAATACCTAACTTATTGAGAGTTTTTAGCATGAAGGGTTGTTGAATTTTGTCAAAGGCCTTTTCTGCATCCATTGAGATAATCATGTGGTTTTTGTCTTTGGTTCTGTTTATATGCTGGATTACATTTATTGATTTGCATATATTGAACCAGCCTTGCATCCCAGGGATGAAGCCCACTTGATCATGGTGGATAAGCTTTTTGATGTGCTGCTGGATTCGTTTTGCCAGTATTTTATTGAGGATTTTTGCATCAATGTTCATCAATGAAAATCAATATATATCATAACAGCTCTGTAAATGTTTCTCTGAGTTCTGTGAGCCATCCTAGGAACTTAATTGAACCCAGGGAGGGGGCTCATGCGAACCCTTTTTTTTTTTTTTTTTTTTTTTGAGATGGGGTCTCATTCTGTCTCCCAGGCTGGAGTGCAGTTGCAGGATCTCAACTCACTGCAACCTCTGCCTCCCGGGTTCAAGCGATTCTCCTGCCTTAGCCTCCCTGATAGCTGGGCTTATAGGAGCCCGCCACCACACCCAGCTAATTTTTGTATTTTATTTCATTTATTTATTTTTTTGAGATGGAGCATCGCTCTCTCACCCAGGCTGGAGTGCAGTGACATGATCTCTGCTCACTGCAAGCTCCACCTCATGGGTTCAGGCCGTTCTCCTGCCTCAGCCTTCCAAGTAGCTGGGACTACAGGCGTCCGCCACCATGCCTGGCTAATTTTTATTTGTATTTTTAGTAGAGATGGGGTTTCACCGTGTTAGCCAGGATGGTCTTGATCTGACCTCGTGATCCGCCTGCCCCGGCCTCCCAAAGTGCTGGGATTACTGGTGTGAGCCACCGTGCCCAGTTTAATTTTTGTATTTTTAATAGAGACGGGGTTTCACCATGTTGGCCAGGCTGGTCTCAAACCCCTGATCTCAAGTGATCCACCCGCCTTGGTCTCCCAAAGTGCTGGGATTACAGGCGTGAACCACCATGACCGGCCGTGGATGTAGTTTTTAGCCAGGCAGTCAGAAGTATGCGTCGCCTGGACTTGGAATTAGTGCCTGAAGTGGGGCTGGTCTCATGGGATCGAGCCGTCAATCTGTGGGATTGGACACTATCTGCAGGTAGACAGTGTCAGGATTGAATTGAATAAGAGGACACCCAGTTGGTCTCTGTGAGAAATGTTTGGTGTGTAAGGAAAAGCCCCCACACAGCCAGCCACAGAAGTGTGCTATTGTTGAGTGTGAGAGTACAAGGGAAAAACAGTTTGCTTTTTTGCTTTACAGTGGGATATTTGATCCATAGGTCTATATCTAAGCACATGAATAGAATGTGTTTGGGCCTGGTTTTTTAGTCTTGCTGGTCAGTAACTAGTTTGACAAGAGAGACTAGCACACTGATCCCAAAAGAACTAGGCCAAGAGCAGATAGGATTTGTGGAAACTTGAACCTCTTATTAGCTCCTTAAAAGACGTACTTTTCTAGACTTCTTTGGAGCCTGGGATTCTAGTACTGGTGAGTTTCCACCGGCAGCAGACTCCCTGAAGATTTGCTAGCCCTCTGCAGGGTTGGCAGGCCACTACCACATTTAGTTGGCTCCTAGGGTATGTTCCACACCAGACTTCCCATTGTGGGAAGGCCAAGAGAACTGAAGAGACAGTCTCTACTCTGGAGGTGGGGAAGTGGGGGAGGTGGTAATTTAATTAACAGTAGGTGGTGGGTGAGGCGACTTGGTAAGGTAAGAGGACACACAAAGGAAGTAACTGCAGTAAACCTTAGCTGGCAGCACAAGTGAGGAGGTGTGCTTGAAAGAGAAATGGAGTGTCTGGAAGTGGGTGAGTATATTCTGGTAGGTGTGACAAAGGCACTGTTCCTCCAACACCAGTCCTGGGAAAGGCATATGATATGGTTTGGCGCTGTGTCCCCAGCCAAATCTCATGATGAATTATGAGCTTCAGTGTTGGAGGAGGGGCCTGGTGGGAGGTGACTGGATCATGGGGGTGAATTTCCCCCTTGTTGTTCTCGTGCTAGTGAGTTCTGAGATCTGGTTGTTTAAAAGTGTGTGGCACTGCCCCTTCACTCTCTCTCCTGCCGCCATGTGAATATGTACTTGCTTCCCCTTTGCCTTCCCCATGATTGTAAGTTTCCTGAGGCCTCCCCAGCCATGCCTCTTGTATAGCCTGCAAAACTGAGTCAATTAAACCTTGTTTCTTTATAAACTATCCACTCTCAAGTAGTTCTTTACAGCAGTGTGAGAACAGACTAATACAACATGGGATCCCAAGTAACTATGCATTCAGAGAAGAAACACAGGTATGTTTGGGAACTGGATGATGGAAGGTACAGGGAAGCACTGTAGGTAACTTTCATGGGTCCTACACTCTACAACATATTCTTGGGGTTGGAATGAGTCAAACAGGAGACTGATGTCCAGGATGGAATTGGCTGTTTATGTTCCCAGGTGTAGGTCTCTTCCTTAACAGATCACGGTAGCTTCATTACAAATGGCCTGGGAAGCGTACATAATGCAGAAACCCCAGCAAATTCTTACAGGGGTTAGTCATGCAGTTATACATTTTCATTCTGGGATTTCTAGGGGCTTAATAAAATTCCTTCATTGGATCATTTAATCCAACATAAATTATTTCCCTACACCTACTTTATACTTGCTCCCTGATTTCATACCAGTGAGTATAGCCTGATGTAACTAAACATTCTGAATTTTCAGTGATACCCAGAGAAGAGTGTGATAACCAATTCTCTCAAAAGCGATTTACTGCAAATATTTTCATTTACAGTAAGTCCTTACTTAACATTGTGGATATGTTCTTGGAAACAGTGACTTTAAGCCAAACGAGGTACTGTGTGGCTTCATAACTCAACTCTTTTTCCTATCAATTAGACTATGGGAAAACTGGTTTCGTATGCATTATGTCCTTTTGCTTAAAGTGGTAGTTTCCAAGAACCTATCAATGACATTAAGTGAGGACTTATTGTAATCTGATATCTGCGGGTGGATAATTTAAGGAACACATACATAGTTAAGCCTGTAAACTGCTGCAAGTTCCAGATATTATCAGTTCTATTTCTCCACAATTACAATTCCAGTTTTGGGGTTTCTTTTTGCTCATTAAATTTGAAAAGCCAATTCCAGTTTTAAAGCTTGACCCTTTTCTTATAACTTTTTTTATAACTGATAATATATCAGTTATATCAGTTATATTTCTTAGGCTTCCCACGAAACCCTCAAACTGACTCTGAGGGTGGCCTTGCTATCTAATTTACAAAACCGGTTATCTTGGTTTGTGTTCATTTTATTTCCCTTGCATACATTGCTTAGCTGCTTCTGATTATATGCCTCTTAGCCGCGGCTGGATAGAAAAGTGTAATAAGAGAAAAGTGTAACTAAGAGACACAGAAGAAAGAGAAATTCCATGAGCACCAGATACTTTTATGGGTGCCTTTTGGAAGCTCTAAATTGAGATGTATCTTTGTTGTCAATTTATGCTATGAATCCAAACGAAAAATGGGGGGAGAAAAACAAATAGGCTGTAGATGAAAGTGGAAGAAGAAAAATGAGTCTATATATATATATATATTAGCAGTTGTATGAAAGTATATGAGTCAATATTCCATCAATACCTAGAAAAATAGTAGATCAATATGCTGATTTTAGGGGTGGACACAAAAGTGTTATAAGTGTCTTTTAACTTTTCTTTTTTCCCTCCTTGACTCTGAAGAGAAACACCATTTTTTCTACGTATGCAAAGAGTAAAAATTCAGAACTAACATGCAGGGATTAATAGCAGTGAATTGCAAACTCAACTCAGTGGTATAGTACCTGGCAACATTATTACTCAGCATATTTCCCTGGCTGAGGCTGACTTCATTTAAAGTAGTTTTATACTTGTGCTAAAAATAAGTGTACATCCCATTAAGGGAGAAAAGATCTTCTACACAATGGATTGGACCTACATAACCTTATGTACCAGAGAAGAAAACATCATTCTCATGAGTCGCAAAGCTTTCTTCTTCTTGTCAATATGATAAACAGTTTCCGTAAATTGAGAATGACGCTGGTTACTTTCCTTCCTCCTGAACATGCCACACTGAAGAGACAGGGATGACTCCTTCCCTATGGGACAGACACACATGTAGCTTTCCCTGGGTTGTGGAGGAAGGCATGGCCACAACACCATTGGCAGTCTGCTGCAGGGACCTCACGATGAGAGGAAGCAATGGATGCCTGGGCCAGGGAAATGCATATTTGGGAGAAAGCAGGAAATTCTGATGTAGAGATAGGGAAGAACCCTGGGGAAAAGGACCCAAGCTGGGCGGGGAGGAGGAAACCACCAGGATCCCAGGATCAGAGACAAAGGACCCAGGGACACAAACAAAGTGAGGCCAGATGGAGAGGGCAGGCTCACGGGGAGAGCAAGCTCACAGGGAGAGCATGAGCCAAACCTGGCTTATTTCACACTCATCAGAGAGACTGCACAGATGGGGCCAAACCAGGGCCCAGGAGCATCGGAGAGAGGAGGGCCATTTCAAAGACTTTTGTAAAATAAGCTCAAAGTTTCTTTGTTTATTTGTGGGTGTGGGAGTGGAAACGTAGGGAAAGTGAAGAAAGTGGGGGAAAAGGGATGGGTGATTTTGTAGGCAAGATGCTCCCTGAGGAGGTCCTGGTGGACCTGCTGTGGGGAGTGGCATTCTGCACACTCTCATATCATGGGGAGCGCATGACTACATTACTGCTTACACATCTCCAAGTGCAGCTTGGGGGGTGAATGTTTAATTGTCTCACTGTAACTGTCTAAATCTCTGGAAAATGTGAAGGGTCATGCATTTGATTTAAACCTATGAGGTCTGAATGAATTCTCCTCCATGCCTAACCGAGTGAAGCAAGTATATAACCAACCATGCATCCCTAAGCAGGGCCGGTATGAAAGGGAGGAAACGCCTCCCCACTGAGCTCGCAAAGAACTTCATCACTGACCTGAATCAGATCCAGCAGGAAATGAAACACTGAGTACATACTTTTACAGTAGAGGGAGGGGGACGGAAAACAAAGTGAGCTGAACTGAAACGTGAGAAAGAACAGAATGGCAGTGAGTCCACGGGGCAGGGCCGCAGCTTTCTTTTTTCATGGCCCTCAGTCCAGTAACCCCACCCGGCATTCGTAGCGGATGACATCATTGATGCCCAAACATGCTCCAGCAATTTCCTGCTTTCCAGAGTCCAGCCGAGCCATGATGTCAGTGGTGCACCTGGGTAAAGATATGGCAGGGCCGGGTCACAGGGAGTGGGGACAAAGGCCAACCCAGTTAAATAAACTGCTGGTCTTCTAGGGCCTGGTCCCTAGGCAGGCTTCCACCATGAGATAGGTATAGCCCAGGCCAATCCCAACAAGAGGAAAAAAAGCATGTACTTGGCCGGGGGCGGTGGCTCACACCTGTAATCCCAGCACGTTGGGAGGTTGAGGCGGGTGAATCACGAGGTCAGGAGTTTGAGACCAGCCTGAACAATGTGGTGAAACCCCGTCTCTACTAAAATTGGAAAAAATTAGCTGGGCGTAGTGGTGGCCACCTGTAATCCCAGCTACTCGGGAAGCTGAGGCAGGAGAATCGCTTGAACCTGGGAGATGGAGGTTGCAGTGAGCCGAGATCACACCACTGCACTCCAGCCCAGGCAACAGAGTAAGACTCTGTCTCAAAAAAAAAAAAAAAAAAAAAAAGAATGCACCCATGCAGTGCCTCCTGTCACCCTCTGCCCAGAAAGGGCACAGGGGCCAGGGTGAAAGAGTTACAGGAAGACAGAGGGAAGGAAACCATGCAGACATAACCACATGGGGGCAGGCCCTAAGCTGCTGGGACCTCCACAGTGTATCCCTTTCCTCCAACTGGGAGACGGAAGCACCGATGGTCTTTCTCTACAGTGCCAGGAGCCACCCTGCCCCCAGAGATGCCCTACAATCAATGACTACCATCTAAATGCTTCTGGATAGTTTCATTCCTTGTAGATGATATTCCAAATATTATAATTTGTACTTCTCCACAATTACAATTCCAGTTTTGGGGTTTCTTTTTACTCATTAAATTTGAAAAGCCAATTCCAGTTTTAAAGCTTGACCCTTTTCTTAAAAGTTTAACTTCTCTTTTTATTCAGGCTTCCCACTAAACCCTCAAACTGACTCTGAGGGTGGCCTAATTTACAAAACCGGCCAGGCTGCCTAACCCCTAGATTCCAGCCCAGAGTGTTGCCATAAATTGCTGTCAAGACATGCCTCTATGTCCCATGTTTGCCAGTGAGAAAAGGGTTCATATTCTAAGTTCTTCAAGTCTCTCTCACTGCCTCAATGTGAAGTCAATGGAAAACAGTCAAATACACCAAAAATTAACTTCAAATGGATATCTGCTATGAATTCCAACTTGGTTGGACACCTCTCCAGGCCAACTGTTGTGAAAATGCATTGTTGTTTTAAAAAACACTGTGAGAGATGGCTGGGCGTGGTGGCTTACTTGAGGTCAGGAGTTTGAGAACAGCCCGGCCAATATGGTGAGACCCCAGTCTCTATGAAAAATATAAAAATTGAGCCAGATGTGGTGGCATGCACTTGTAGTCCACGCTACTTGGGAGGCTGAGGTAGGAGTATCACTTGAACCTGGAAGGTGGAGGTTGCAGTGAGCCGAGATCATGCTACTGCACTCCAGCCTGGGTGACAGAGCAATACTCTGTCTCAAAAAAAAAAAAAAAAAAAGAGAGCGAGAGAAAACACTGTGAGAAGAAAGAAGTCAATCACCCCCTCTCCAATGCCCAACACAGTAAGCAAGAAGGGCCCAGGAAAAAATTAACAGGGAAAAACAATCTTGCATTTGCTTAGTGGAATCTGGGGTTTGCACACATTAGTCAGAGCTAGACAAATCATACTGAATACACTTCTTATAGAAACATTCTAGCTCTTATGGCCTTTCCTTGCTGTCCCAACTTTTGAGGTGCGAAAACACAGCAACACAGCCAGGACCGGCCAGGTGATGGCACGGAGCCCGCTCCCACAGGCTGCGTGTGTGTTCTCACTCTCTTGCAACTGGCCTGAGTTAAGCCTTCTCCCCAAGCACTTGCAGTTTATCATCGCCCTATTTACTGTATTTTCATGTTATAAAAGTGATATACACCCAACGTAGTAATTTGATCTATACAAAAAAGAGAAGAAAAAAAGCTACTCATAATATCACTGTCTAATTTAAGGTTTTGGTGTAGTCTTTCTAGTCTTTTTCTATATGGAATGTAATTTACTTCTCAAAAATATCATTTCATATTCTTTGCTTACATATTAGCATTTTTGTCATGAAATTTATGCCAACTGATTAAACAGCCCTTGTAAATTACAGAAACTTAAAGACAATATCAAAACAATGTGACCACAAGACAAAGACCACCTACTACTAAATTATTTTTGGCATGAGATTATTTTTTGAGAAGTTTTATAAACTATTAGGTTTATTGAACACTATAAACTGTAATCCTTGAAAGAATTTTGGAAGCATACGATAACAGGGTAATTTGTAGTAGAATATAGGGTTGGAAAACCTTAAAAAACACTTGCTCATTTCTTCCTATATCAAAGATTTGTATTAGAAAATCTATTTCTTACAAAAAGATGTACTAAGTGGTATTATGTCAGTCAAGCATCTTGTATTATTTTCTAGCTTTCAATAATATGTATAATGTCATAAAAAAGAGGGAAGAATACACAAAATACATATGAAGCTTACTAGGAATGAAGAAAGTTATTTTAGGAAGGAAAAATTGGTTACCATCAAGGAATATGGAAAACACTAGCAATGCATGTAAGAATGACCTCAAAGGTCTTAGACGTCCACGAGCTGGGAATGCTTGTGCTGGGTGCTTCAGTTACAACAGCATGGGGAAGTTAAATAGACTAGTGAAGCTGTTACATCAGTTAATAGTATTTATTATTATTTGTGGTCACCAATGCCAATTAAAACAATAATTAAATAGAACATGATGAAATAATTCAATGGTAGGAAAAAAAAATCTGGCCTACAAGTGAACATGGAAAGTAAAAGTAAATATTTAGAAAGTGAAATCAGGAGTGGAAAAAAGCTCCAGCATCTCACCATGGGGTCTTCCAAAGCCAGCAGTACTGGAGATGTTTATTGTTCAAAGATGGACTTGCTTGGGTTGGGATTCTCCAACTAGAGCCAGAGGGGAGATTCTCTGCTTCCCTTGAGGACACAAAAAGAGAGGCTTTCTTATAAAGCCTGCCACATTCTGTGCCTGTATTGTTTTATTTACTGGAGTCTATCATAAGGCCTGTGAGGAAAGGACTGAATCTCTTTCTCATAGCCGTTGGGCTGATGGCCCTGCGTGCTGTAGGCATTTAATAATTCACTGAGTAAGTGAATGAACCCTGCAGGAGATTGGGAGCCTTTCTGATCTTGAGGTCTCAGTTTGGACTATCTTTCTGGAATGGATAGACGAATATGTTTTTCAGCAGCACTCTAATAAGCGCACATTGGGTGACTAAGCAGAAGAGTGATTCGTTTTGCTAGAATTTTCCAACCTGCAGGAGCCAGTCCCCCTGGTGTCCCCATTCCCTGTCCCCTCAGTCATCTCAGCAGGAAATTACTATCCTTTCTCCCACATGGGTGATGAATGTTCAAGGCATTTCAGCACACTGTGGTAAGGCCCAGAATGGGTTCAAGTAAAAGTAAATACCAGTCCTTATTAGGAGATCCTGGCCCCTCTGCTGCATGTGTCCCAGTACACATGCAGCTTCCTGCTCTGTCATAGAAAGCAGCCCTCTAGGGCCACTGCCTCCAGTGAGAGTTTCCTGACCTCCAGGAACTTCTGTAGTCAGGCACCACTCCCTTCCCTCACACCCAACACCCTGTTGTTCCAGATTTTATCACTGTGCACTGATGCTCACTGCGACCCCACATGTGGCCACAGGAGGAACTCGGCTGAGGGCTGAGAAGACCAGATAATGACACAGAGGGCTCACTTCAGGAAACCCAGAGAGCTGCAGCGGCTCCTCCAGGGCCATTCCACGCATTCATTTTCTAACAAGTCATAAGTCAAAGAGTGACATCAGGAGCGGACAGCCTGGTGTCCAGGCATGAGCCATGGCAACAGATTCTGATTTCCCAGAACGGCTTTGGTCTTTACCTGGTGTTGGATATGGTAGTGTTAGCTGGAGTGGGAGGAGATTCACATTGTATATTTGTTTAGTGACTCCAAAGATTTTAAATTATATTGTGTTTTTTATTATTTTATTCCATTTTTTTAGAGACAGAGGTCTCACTCTATCTCCCAGGCTGGAGTGCAATGATATGATCATAGGTCAGTGTAGCCTCAAACTCCTGGGCTCAAGTAATCCTCCCATTTCAGCCTCCTGAGTAGCTGGGACTCCAGGTGTGTACCATGACTCCTGGCTAATTTTGGTTTAAGTAGAGATACAGTCTGGCTATGTTGCCCAGGCTGGTCTTGAACTCCTGGCCTGAAGCAATCCTTCTACCTTGGCTTCCAAAAGTGCTTGGATTGTAAGTGTGAACCACTGTGTGGGCCCTGGTTTTTGTTTAATGGCTATTAAATGCTCAGAAGTGAATTAAGGTTGCAGTTAAATGCACAATTTTTATATCAAACTATTTTCTTTGCTAATTCACTTCTATCTGCGTCTACCAGCTGTAAACTACCTGAAGCAGAGAAAGTTTCTTTAGGTTGGGGCTTCCTGTAGCCCCGAGCTGAGTGTCTTATGCAGCATTGGCCGAGTGAATGAATTTGTTGGGTGAACTGCTGCGGGGTTTAGAGTCCGCAGAGGGTAGGACAGGACAGATCGTGATAGAGGCTAACCTTCTCATCTACTCTACCATTTCATGCTCTGTTTGGGCACCTCCATCACCCCTCACTTCCCCTGATGGTCCAGTCTCTCTGGGCCTGCACTGTCCAGCCACCCTCTTATCCCTAAGCCAAGGCCTTTGCCAACTAAAGCTCAGGAGTAAAGTGGCCATCACTGAGGCCATTCTATGTATGTATGTATGTATGTATTTAGAGATGGAGTCTTGCTCTGTCACCCGGGCTGAAGCACAATGGTGCAGTCTTGGCTTACTGCAACCTCTGCCTCCCAGGTTCAAGCAATTCTCCTGCCTCAGCCTCCCAAGTAGCTGGGATTATAGGTGTCCGCCACCATGCCCAGCAAATTTTTGTATTTTTAGTAGAGATGGGGTTTCACCCTTTTGGCCAGGCAGGTCTCAAACTCCTGACCTTGTGATCCCCCCACCTTGGCCTCCCAAAGTGCTGGGATTACAGGCATGAGCCACTGCACCCGGCTGACTGAGGCCATTCTAAGGAATATACAGCAAGCTCTTCAGTACCCATTTTTGTTAACTGAGGTATAACTAAATGATACACAGGCCCAGCACAGTGGCACGAACCTATAGTCACAGCAACTTGGGAAGCTGAGGTGGGAGGATTGCTTGAGATCAGGAGTTTGAGTCCAGCCTGGGCAACACACGTGTATAGGTCTATGAGTCTGGAAGAATGTATATAGCCATGGAATCACTACCATGTCAAAACATAGGATATTTCCATTATCCCAAAAAGTTCCCTCCTGCCCCTCTGCAGTCAAACACTTCCCTCCCCCAACTCCTGGCAACTGCTGATCTGAACTGTAGACCTGAAAATGTCATTCAGAACCCATTTCATCTGGACCCTTCTCTCTGTGTCAACATTGCTGTGAGCGGTGTCTGTGGGATTTTTCTGGACGTTCTCTGCCATGCCCCTGCTCCTTCCTTCCTGCCTTCTGGAAGGCACCCCTGCCAGGAGTCGGCTGCATTAAAGTGGGTGTTTCAGGGGTGTCTTCCTTTACTCTCTTCTCACTGATTTCCAGCTATCCCTGTGTCTCTTGTTTAATGAGTGCCTTCACCCATATCCTTAAACCCACCAGGGCGACCTTCCTGCCCCTTTCTTTGGAGAGCTGTATCTGTATTTCCAGTGGAGACACAGACTGTTCCTTAGATCCTATTAACCCTCTGAGCTCTCTCTCTTCAAGCCAGGCTCATTTCTGGCTTGGCCAATCTGCCTCCTCCCGTGTCCTTTCCATGACACGGTGATGGCATCACCAGCCAGTCACCAAGCTAGAACAGTCCCTTCACCCGGCCCCTACTGTAGGAGGATACTTTTAGAGTATGTCTGCAATTCACCCCCACTCTCTGTATCTACTTCTGTGGCCAAAGTGCGGACCTTGATTTCCTCTGGCCCCAGCTGAATTAACCCACCTCTCTGGGCCTGGTTCTCTTTTCACTAAACATTCTCCACATTGCTGCCAGAGCTATTTTTCTAAAATACACATCAGACCACATTCTTCTCCTCCTTCTTTAAAAACAAAAAATCAAAAAAATAAAAAACCAAGAAACAAACAAAAAACCCACCCTACCGTGGCTCCTCAGTGTGTAGAGATCAGATTCAAGTTCCGTGAGATGGTCTTCAAGATCCTTGGCCATGTGACCCCGTCCTGCTATCCCAATCCCATTCCCATTCCCATCCCCAGCCTCCCCACCTCATCCAACTCCAGCCACATTGGATCACCCCAGGAGAGGATGTCATGTATTAGTACTCTGGTGCCTTTGAGTCAAAACTCACTGTTTTGCCAGTTCAGAGGTTGAGCCCTTTTTGAAGAATCCCCTCTTCTTCCACAGCCCAGGTAAGTTCTACCCCAGGCATAATGAGCTGTTATCCCCCTGGGATCTGAGGGCATTCAGAATACCAACACAATGCTCTCCAGATACCTCTATGCTATTCAAATCCATGCATCTCACACCTGCTCATCTTAAAATCTCTGTGCCTCACATGCAGGAAGAATTCAAATGATGCTGATTGAAAAAACATTGTGTCCAATATTAGATGAAGCTTGTAAATATCAAGGCAAGAATCTGCACTTTTTGTCTGTCTATTGCTTGTTTGCACAATAGAGCCACATGGTTTATTATAAAAAATTATTATAATGTATGCTGTTTAAGCTCAGATCACTTTGCACTAATGATGATGATAATGATGGGTTAGAATTTTTTTTCTTTTCTTGCCATGGGATCTGCCAGGTTTTAAGAATTCTTTTTTATTCTAAACCAAATTCAGGAGCACTCCCAAAGACAAGAAATCAAATTTAGGCCACTGATGGTACCAACGGAAGGCTATCACTGTGTAGCTATACCAAATGAAGCCAATCTTCATGGATTTTAAGCACTTTGATAAGCTTTTATATCTCTGCTCATCTCGTTTACCTCCATAGATAACACAAAATAACAGAATAATCAACCAATAGCAACATAATCCCATCACAACAACATCAAAAATGAGAATTCATATGATTCAGTAATTTCCTAAGCCAGAACTTCCCACCTGATGTGCTGGGGAAGTGAGAGGGTGAGGACTGCTTTCCCCAGCCCTTAGGGTGACTGGGCAGATCCTGTCTGGTGTGAGCATTCAACCCTACTGATTACATCATTTTGGGTGCTATGTGTGATAAAGGTTGACAACCACTGTCCTAAGCCATTCTACCATTTAAATAGACTGAATTCTCCCAAGTTATGTTCTTACTTGCCTTAGGAAGGAAATTAGTATTATGACTCTAAGGATCCTGAACACATGATCTAAAAAAAGAAAAACCCAAAGCACAATGGCAAAGGTAGGTGAGACAGAGTGTTTAGAAAAATAGCGAATACTGTACTATTAATTACTCCCAATTCTCCCTAATCCATGATTTTTAAAGAGCGGGTGGAGCATAACGATTTGAGGCACTGCGACAATGCAGAATGGGGAGGGATTTTGGAAAATGTGACTCACTCACCGTTCCGACCAAAGGGTAAATGAACCCAGCACCTATGCTGGCCCGGACATCACTGATAGGTAAGATGAAGTCCCTTGGCACACCTTTTTTGTCAGGTTGGTGAGACAGAGAAAGATCGGTCTTTGCCATGCAGATGGGCAAATTTCCAAAACCCTGTAAGAAAGGAAAGAAAATGTGTTCACTGATATAGACGTGAGTCTCCTGTGTTTTTCAATTTGCACTTTATACAGTCTCGGCAGCAATGGTATGCCAGCTCAGATCGAGGCACACGCAGGAGCTGCTTGTTACTACTTGTTCACTGAAGAAGCAAGAAGGTGAGGATAAAAACTCATCTCCATGTGATGACTGTTTAGTAGGTCAGGGGTGACTATTGTTTATTTTGGAGGTTCTCGTTAAGAGAAGGCAGTGTTATGTGCATGTTTGGGAAAAGCATTGCTATTTGCAGGCAAAGCAGCAGCTGTAGAAACCGCTTTCCAAGACTATTAATATCCGGGACCCAGCAAGGTAGTCTGGAGAAAGGCTCTGCGACTAGGCTCTTAGTCATGTTGTTCACTCATTCTGGAGTCAGTCAAGAAGCAAAGGGTTCCTTTGTGTTGGTTTATGAATCATGGTTATTTGATCTGCAACTACATTACAAGAGCTAAGATGAGGTCACTATTTAAGCTTCTTGTTTTTAAGGACAAAAGTCTATGTCTGACCCAGAGTTCCAAAGGTGAAAGAGCAGGAAGTCACATGTGGTGTCTCACAAAAAGCACAGTGTCCTATAAGCCTGTTTCTGATTAAATGGCACACAGTGTTCCTTCAGAGGCTTTGCTAATTCATTGCAACCACATACTTGGCACTAACTTTAAAAAAAATAAAAATAGAGATGGAGGTTTTGCTATGTTGCTCAGAGTGGTCTCAACTCCTGGCTTCAACTGATCCTCTGCCTTGCCCCCACAAAGTGCTGGGATTACAGGTGTGAGCACCGTGCCTGGTTGACACGACTTTTAAGGAGTATTTCCTTGATAGAGATAAAGGGAATGAAATCTTTAGTCAAATTTTCATAAGACTTAGCCTAAAACTATTTGGAAGATCTTAGAGTCTTATCAACTTAGGGAGGACTTGGGCTTGGGGCCATTTTCTTTTTGAAATCTCCACTCTTCTATACTGATAAGAATTTTGCTGAGTGAGAATCACAACTGCCTTTCAGAATGGTGCCAGAATTTTGAATTTCAGACATGGTTAAATATTAAAGTAATTTCTATAGGTTTGCTAATGTAAAAATTTTGTTAGTAGGCATATTAAAAAGAAACAGAAACCAACCAGTATGCTATATACTGTCACCAGATTACTTCATAAAAGAAATAACATTTTAACACTGAAAGGAGAAAAGACTTAATATTACAATAAATGATAGTCTTAAATATCATTATTAAAAACTCGGGGAATAAAAAACAAAGCAACCTCATGAGAATGACCTTATTTTACTTGGTTCATTGCACATGAATGAAAACTTCACCACAATGCCTAGGCACAGAGCAGTGCTTGGGAATCCTTTTTGTAAAGGGTAAGCCAAGAACATCAGGGAAAATTCTAAGAATTTAGAACTTTCTGAGTTCCTATTTTACCAAACCTAGGAGAACAAATACCCTGGCTGGCAATGGTAACATTTAACAAAATTTCAAATGGGTTTACAAAAAAGAATAAGGAGTTGGAGATTGTTTTTAAAGATAAGGTCAACACTACCAATCATGAAGCTCTTTAGCCAACAGGCTCTTAAAATGTTCTGACTTCTATCTATCTGATTACACCAAAGTAGGAGGGACACTGGAGGCACATGATCCTTTTGGTAAAAGGTGGCTGAGCCTCCTATAATGGAGTTGATTCATCATGACTGTCACTGGACTAGGTGATGACACATGCTGTCAGATCGTAGCCACCTTCCCAGCTGTTTGCCTACTTGCCTTTCTCAGTGGCTAGAGGTAGAAGATGATGGAGCCTTCAACCTCAGTGGACCAGCTCAGTAAAAAGCCAATGAACCGCTTGCATAAGAACAGCAAACATTCCCATCTTTATAGGCTGCACTCCTATCTGCCTACCCTGGCACCTTGCTAGCATTTTTAAGGTAGTAAGAGGCCTGTAAGGAAGAGGAAGCATTGCAATTCATGCAAATCTGACTCCGCAGCTCTACTCCAAAGGATAGTTTCAACGTTCTGGGCTGAGTGGGAGGGATGAAAGATCACACATCACCTACAAACAGGGATACCACCCATATCAGACACATTTATAGTCACAGAAGTAAATGATGCATGGATCAGAGGATACATGCCTCACCATAAAGTTCTAAATATAGTTTACACTCTACCCGAGGATATTGCTTTCATCTTTGTTAACCAGAAAATAGATTAAGCAAAGGTTAGCTGGTGAGACATGTACAAATCCTCAAGTCAAGCTGAGTATTCTGAGAGCCTAAGGTGAATTTTTTCTTTTCCCCTAAAAGTACAACTTTTACCTGCTGAGTGTAACGATCTATTTTGACTTGTGCCTCAGGACAGAGTTCGATATCTTTGGCTCCATAGACAGCCTGGGCAATGGTCCTTATCTTGTCCACAATTGGAAGCTGCAGAAACACAAATTATAACAAAATTGTGTAAGTTTAATCTGGTTAAAGATTTTTTTAAAAGTTTAGTGACACTTACTGTAATTGCTTAAAATTCCCTTATCAGGGTACCCCCTCAGCAACTGCAGGATTCCTTGCAAACCCTCTTTTTTCCTTTTAGCACCCTAAAGCACTGAAATTTTCAGTGTCAGAATAGATCGGATGTCAACTAGCAAATAAGCCTTAGGTGTTCAGGCAATTTAGAGGCTGCCTAGAGCCCATGTAGAATCTGCAGAGGGAGGCCGGGCACAGTGGCTCACACCTATAATCCCAGTACTTTGGGAGGCCGAGGCGGGTGGATTACCTGAGGTCAGGAGTTCGAAACCAGCCTGATCAATATGGTGACACCCCGTCTTTACTAAAAATCCAAAAAAACTAGCTGGGCTTGGTGGTGCATGCCTGTAATCCGAGCTACTTGGGAGGCTGAGGCAGGAGAATCACTTGAACTGGGAGGCAGAGACTGTGGTGAGACAAGATTGTGCCACTGCACTCCAGCCTGGGTGGAGTAGGACTCCGTCTCAAAAAAAAAAAAAAAAAAAAAATCTGCAGAGGGAAGAGGGAAGTTAGTGCCTTACAGAGGGCTTCTGACTAGGAAGCCCCAGAACTGCGGCCGACCCCTTCCTCTCCCTGCCTCACCCCTGCAGAAAGATCTGCAGAAAAAGCTGGAAGGGGTGGGATGGTGTGTGTGGGGGTGGGGACTGGGGCTATGCAGTTTCCAGACCTGGTCTTTGGCACCCTCTACAGGACAGTTCCATTCCCACACCTGAGCTTTGGACAACTGAATCCTATGCCCCTTCCCACCCAGGGAACCTGGTGCCAGAAATTCCCAGGACTTACCCACCATCCACCACGCCACATAGCAAGTGTCCTCAGTGTCTGCAGACCAGAAACAACTCCCTTGTGTCTCAGCACTGGGCCACCTGCTGAAACCCCAAACTGCCTGCCCCATTGTTTGAGACCCAGTCAGGCCTTGGCTCCAAAAGTCCTCTTGGACTGCCACTGGCCCCCAGGGTCTCTCCTGACTGCACCTCGGTCCCGGAGCTCCCACACCGCTGGGCCCCGAGCCCCATGCCCCGATCCAGCTGTGGCTCCTTTACGGGGGCCTTGCTGGCCTTTCCTAAGGGAGGTGTTTTCCCGAGGGCAGGTGGACTGCTCCTCAGACTAGGGGCCCTCGGAGGGCCAGGCCTGGGCTTCTACCTCCTCTCGCAGGCTGGTGTTTCTCTGCAAATATGGCTCGTGTGTCCTCCTTCCTCTCAGACTGGGGGCCCCTGAGGACTGGGCCTGAGTTTCCCTCTCCCCCTTCAGAATGGGGGTTCCCTGAGGACTGACCCAGGGCCTCCCCCCGTCCCCTCCATCTGGCTGTTAATCTCCAACACTTCCACCTCCAGTCCTATTCTGCACAGCGCTCCCCAGCGCTGGGAGCTCAGAGGCCTCTTCAGCCTTCCCCAGGGCTGGGGCTCAGGGAGGGCTTCCTCAGGCGCTGGCCCCAGAGTCAGGCTGCACATTGGCTTGGAGGACAGGCCTTTCCTCTGGGACTGTGAGGCCCAGAGTGCCCACCCAGAACTCCACCTCTGACCTCACAAAGGCCTGCTTCAGAACTCAGTCTCCACTGCACTGCTGGCCAGACGAGGGATGTTATTTTGGGCAGTGCATCTGGACTTGGTTCAAGTGGCACCAGCCAAATCCCTGCCTTACTGACCTCTCCCCTGGAGGAGCAGGAGCAGCGCTCAAGGCCGCCTTGGGAGGGCTGAGAGGCAGGCTCTGGACTGGGGACACAGGGATAGCTGAGCCCCAGCTGGGGGTGGAAGCTGAGCCAGAGACAGTCACAGAGGAACAAGATCAAGATGCGCTTTAACTGAGAAGCCCCCAAGGCAGAGGCTGAGAATCAGAAGACATTTCAGCAGAGTGAGTGGGGCTCCAGGCAGGGTGGGGATGGGGCAGCCTCCTCAGTGCCCAGATCTGGAAGGGTCATTCCCTGGGTACCATACAGCGAGGAGGTGACTGAGGGATTGTTTGGGGAAGGAGCCCCGGCTGGGAGTGGAAGTCCCGGCTTTCTTGTTATGGTGCAGTCCTGTGTTGCTGTGTGACACAGGCACATACACCTTCTCTCTGGGCCTCAGTTTCCTTACCTGTAAGTTGGTTGTTGGGAGGACCAGCGGTAGAGCAGAGATGGCAGGGATGCACTGGGCTGGGCTGTCAGCAGACCATGGGGGTGGGACGAGGAGAGAGCTGAAGACCACCGGCAGTGGACCACAGGGGGAGGCATGCAGGCCAGACACGGGTCAGCTGCCGGCTTGCTGGAGTCATTCCTCCCACGCAGTCCCCTCCTGAGGGGCTGGAGCTGGGGCTGGAGGGTTTCAGCAGTCAGGGCTGGAGATAAGAGTCTGTGCTGGAGCTAGAGGGAACTGGGCTAGAGAATCAGGAGGACAGACAGGGTGAGGGGACTTCGGGCTACCTTCATGCTGTCTGTTAGAGATAAAGATAGGAGTACAAAGGGGAATTTTTGGGTGAGGTACACGGGTGAAATGAGTTTTCAGGGCCTCATCCTGTGTGTTCACCTTCTGCGTGTGTGTGTGTGTGTGTGTGTGTGCATGCGTGCATATATGTGTGTGTGCAGGTCCTGGACAGTCACAGCTTAAGTTAGCAGCAAGAGAACTTGAGGTTAAAGGTATAGCACGCAAATATGAGGCTGGAGCCACTGAGTAGAGGCTGAGGGCATCTCCACAGTCCAAAGCTGGGCTGCAGACAGGGAAGGTCAGCAGGAGCACTGGAGGGTCTGGCCTGGGGTTGGGGTCCTGGGGCCAGCATGGGTGGGGTGGGGCTCCAGGGCGTCGCCTCATTGGCTGAGCACCGCTCCTCCCTCCCTGTTCCTTGGCTGGGTTAAGGGAGTGGCACTAGCAGGAGCTGCCCCAGGGCTTCTCCCCTGGGGACAAAGGTCTGATGGAAGTGTGGGGCCAAGTTCTGTGTCCTCCAGCCCTAGTGACCTCTCTTTGGCTCTTCAGCATCTACAAATCTGAAGGACAAAACATGGTTCAAGCATCTGGGCACAGGCGGTAAGTACCCCACCCTCTTCTCACCCTCCAGCCCCCTGTCCTCCACCCAGCCCACTTCAGTGCCCTCCCTGCTCCATCCTCAGCCTCTCCCTTGGGGCAGCTGTCCCCCCTCGACCTCCTCCTCCCCACCCACCCACTCGCCTCTGAGGTCCCAGAAGAAAAGCATCTTCCACCTGTTGCCTGGGCTGGGTCCTGGGGTGAGGGGAGGCTCAGAAATACTTGGATGAGGGTCAAGGCATGCAGGTGGCCTTCAACTCAACTGCACTCAGCACCTCTCACCCTCTCAGGCTCAGCTGTCTTTGGGGTGAAAAAGAGCCAGTCCTTGCAATGGCCAAGGCCCTGCCTATGTAGTCCTTGTTAGCTTTCTGGCCTCCCCACTCCAGCCCCCTGCTCTCCCTCCTCCAGCCACACTGAGTTTCTTTTCTGGTTTTCTTTTTCTTTTTTTTTTTTTTTTTTTTTTGAGATGGAATCCAGTTCTGTTGCCCAGGCTGGAGTGCAATGGCAAGATCTTGGTTCACTGCAACCTCCTTCTCCCGGGTTCAAGCGATTCTCTTGCCTCAGCCTCCTGAGTAGCTGGGATTACAGGATTACAGGCACACACTACCATGCCCAGCTAATTAGTTGTTTTTTTTTTGTTTTTTTTTTTTTTTTTTTTTTTTTGTATTTTTAGTAGAAATGGGGTTTCGCCATGTTCGCCAGGCTGTTCTTGAACTCCTGACCTCAGGTGATCCACCCGCCTCGGCCTCCCAAAAGGTTGGGATTACAGGTGTGAGCCACTGCACCTGGCCTCACACTGACTTTCTTTGCTTTCTTCAAACATGCTGAGAGTCCTCTGGTGACTATTCCCTCCATCTGAGAGGCTTTCTGCAGTTAACATACAGCCCACTCTCATCTCCTTCATGGCTTTGCTCCAAGGCCACCTTCTCAACAAGGATTACTCTGACTGCCCTATTTGAAATCACACCCCATCTCCAGCCCCTGCACTCCCAATTCCCCTCTCCTTGCTCTGTTTTTTCCCATAGGAGCTGGTACCTTCGCTTATACAAATGTACTTACTTATTACATTTCATTGCTGTCAGCTCCACGCAAGCAGGGATATTTGCCTGTTGTACACTTGCACGGAGAGAATGAATAGTGCCCCTCTGTTGACATCATTGCCTCTAGCCTACGTCTCTTTCCAGGGCTTTAGATCCTGTTTCTAGAGACCCACTGGTGTCTCACAGGCAACTCAGCTCCTAGATGGAAACAGCCTCCTCCGCCCCCCACAAGTCCACTCCTCCTGTGCTCTTGGCTCAGTCAGGGGTCCCCTTCTCTTCAGTTGCTCAAGCCAGAAGTCAAGGTCATGTCCTTGATACTTCCCTCTTCCCCATGCCTCACATCCAGTCACCAATCTCCTAAAATATCTAGAATGTGCACAGCTTCCACCATTCTTTCTACCACCACCCTACTCCCCCATGGCCATGTCAGGCCACCACCCGCCCATTCTTCAAAACTCCCTTCAGGCCTCACCTCCCATGCCTCCCCTGAGTTCCCCCAGTCCCAGGCTGCTTCTCTCTGGTGGTGTTGCCATTACCCATCTCTTCTATTAAACAGAGTGACCCAAGAGTGGAGAGTGGGTTTTGACTTTGTATCCCTGGTGCTTGACTCATAAGTAGGTGCTCAACAAAAATTTTTTCTTTTTTTGAGATGGAGTCTTGTTCTGTTGCCCATGCTGGAGTGCAGTGGCATGATCTCGGCTCACTGCAACTTCTGCTTCTTGGGCTCAAGCGATTCTCACATCTCAGCCCCCACCCCAGCTGGGATTACAGGTGCCTGCCACCACGCCCAGCTAATTTTTTTTTTATTTTTAGTGGAAATGGGGTTCTGCCATGTTGGCCAGGCTGGTCTTGAACTCCTGACCTCAAGTGATCCACCTGCCTCGGCCTCCTGAAGTGTTGGGATTACAGGCATGAGTCACCATGCCTGGCCAACAAATGTTTGTTGAATGAAGAAATGTTGGTTAGCAGGTTGAATTGTTGGCTCGTGGTTAGTTGGATAGTTTATGGTTGACTGGTTGATTAGATAATTCAATGAGTTAATAGCTGGTTAACAGGAGAATCAGTTAGTTGGTTTTTGATAGGTTAGTCAAAGGGTTAATAAGCCACCGGGCATGTTGGCTCATGCCTGAAATCCCTGCACCTTGGGAGGCTGAGGCTGGAGGATTGCTTGAGTCCAGGAGTTTGGGACCAGCTTTGGTAACATGGCAAAACCCCATCTCTACAAAAAATAGGAAAAAATAGCCGGTCATGGTGGCATGCTCCTGTAGTCCCAACTACTTGGGAGGCTGAGGTGGGAGGATCACTTGAACCCTGGGAAGTCTAGGCTTCAGTGAGCTGTGACTGTGCCACTGCACTTCAGCCTGGGTGACAGAGTGAGACCCTGTCTCAAAAAAAAAAAGAAAAAGAAAAAGAAAAGAAACAGGCGTTAGTGAGTTGTTAGCTATTTAGTTCCTTGGTTAACAGATTACTTAGGGGATCTGGTTGGCTGTCAGTTTCTTGCTTTGTAGGCTGGCTTTCTTGGGCCCCTCTTAGTCTGTACCCTCTCCTTGAGCTCTCTCATCTATGCCCATGGCTCAGATGACCATCTGTGATTTGCTGTCCTCCAAATGTGTCTGTAAGTGAGACCACATGACCAGCTGCCTCCTCACTGGCCATCCCACCCAAGTGTCTAGCGGGCTCCTCACACTCAACATGTCCAGAAAGGGCCTCCTTGTCCATTCTTCCACAGCTTCTCTGCTGTGCCCCACGCTAGTCATTCTGCTGCCCTAGCCAGGACCTGAGGGCATCGCTGAGCTGCCCCGCTCCCTTCCCTCTCTAACTGAACACCAAGCCTGTCAGCTTGACTGTGCTCTTGTGGCCATTGGCACTGCCATCCTTGTGGCTCAGGCTGCCACCACTTCTCCACCCATCTGTGGAGAAGCTGATGCTCACCCTGCCTCCACTCCACTTCCTCCATCCTGGCCTCCACAGGGGAGGCAGCTCTCCTGCTGAAACCCTCCACTTGGCCCATGGCCCTCTGGTAGAGTTCAGACTCCCTAATGTGGGCCATGAGGCCTTCTGCCACCTGGCCCTGGCCCCTCTCTGCCCATCTCATGCCACCTCCACTCCTCCGTGGCCAGCCCATTCCTGCACATTGGATACTGCCTTAGCTGCAGGCCTTTGCACATGCCAGTCCTACGCCCAGAGTGATCCCTGCCTCCCTGGAGGCTCCTTTACCCTCCAGCCTTCTTTTCTTGACCTGAATTTCCCTTTCTCTGGGAGCCTTCTACCCCCTCCTCTAGGCCATTCACTTCCTCCACATGCCCCACAGTGCCCACTCTTTCAGCTGGGGCAATGCTCATCACACTGCATAGTAATTGCTCAATTGATTGCTTTTCTTCCCACAGGCTGGATTGTACCAGTGTCCTTTACTGCAGTGACTGAACATTCTAGGCACAGTAGATTCAAGAAATCTTGAGTTCATTGGCTGGTTGGTGGTTATCTGTTGCTTACTGTGTCTTGCCTGCTGTGTGGTGATGAGGAAGGAGCCAGGCTTCCAGGATTCTCTTGGTGTTCTTGTCTTTCCGCTCTGTCCACTTCTCTCTCCTCTTCTGTGGTTACCTCCAGCATGGGAGGTGGGGTTGGATGGGAGCCAGTGGAGGGTCACCTCGCCCTGCTAGGGAGAGCAGCAGCATTCCTCAGGGCTCCTAAATTCCCCTGACCTCACAGCAGCAAAAAGTAAGCAGAGGGAATGAGAGACGTCCAGGCATGGAATAAAACATCTTCCACTTTTCAGCTGAGACCCTCTGTTCATAGCTCACCCATCCCAGTCCTTGCTCTATTCCTTACTCCAGAGAAACAAAACCAGGGATGAGTAGATGGAGGGGGATGCAGAGTTGCGCGGATATTCCACTGGCCCCCATCCAACTCCAGCTCCCATGCAGCATCGTATAGGGGTCTCATTATCCCATGACCAGCCTCCTCAGCCCTGAAGAAGAGACCCTACCAATGCAAGCAGCAGCCCAAAGACAGTCCTGGGAAGGTACCATAGAGGCAGGGGAGAGTTAGACAGAGCAGGGAGCCAAGAACACCAAGGGAATCCTGGAAGCCTGGCTCCTTTCTCATCAGCACAGAGCAGGCAACAACCAGCCAAGGAACCAAAGATTTATTGAATCTACTATGCCTACTATGTTCAGGCACTGCAGTGAAGCAAACTGGTATGATCCCAGCCCTTAGGAAGAAAAACCGTTAATTAATTAAGCTTTTTTTTTTTTTCTTTTTTGAGACAGGGTGTCGCTCTGTCACCCACGCTGGAGTGCAGTGGTGTTATCTCAGCTCACTGCAACCTCTGCCTTCTGGGCTCAGGCAATCCTCTCACATCAGCCTCCCCATTAGCTGGGACCACAGGCGTACACCACAACACCTGACTAATTTTTGTATTTTTTTTTTTTTGTAGAGATGAGGTTTTGTCATACTGCCCAGGCTGGTCTTGAACTCCTGGGCTCAAGCGATCAGCTCGCCTCAGCAAGTGCTGGGATTACAGGCGTGAGACACTGTGCCTGGCCTAACTGAGCAATTACTATGCAGTGTGATGAGCATTGCCCCAGCTGAAAGAGTGGGCACCGTGGGGCATGTGGAAGAAGTGAATGGCCTAGAGGAGAGGGTAGGAGGCTCTCCCAGAGAAAGGGAAATTTAGGTCAAGAAAAGAAGGCTGGCGGGTAAAGGAGCCTCTGGGGAGGCAGGGGACCATTCTCGGTGTAGGACTGGCATGTGCAAAGGCCTGCAGCTAAGGCAGTACATGATGTGCAAGGATGGGCTGGCCAGAGGAGTTGAGGGGCTGGTGTCAGCTTCCGGGCATGCAGACAGTGAGATAGCAGAGTGACTAAGGCCACACTTAGAGGTATCTGTATCCCTCTTCTTCCTCTTTTTTTTTTTTTTTTTTTTTTTTTTGAGATGGAGTCTCACACTTGTTGCCCAGGCTGGAGTGCAGTGGCAAGATCTCGGCTCACCACAACCTCCATCTCCCATGTTCAAGTGATTCTCCTGCCTCAGCCTCCGAAGTAGCTGGGATTACAGGCATGCGCCACCATGCCTGGCTAATTTTGTATTTTTTAGTAGAGATAGGGTTTCTCTATGTTGGTCAGGCTGGTCTCGAACTCCCGACCTCAGGTGATCTGCCCACCTTGGCCTCCCAAAGTGCTGGGATTATAGGCGTGAGCTACCGGGTCCAGCCCCTCTTCTTCCTCTTTATCCTCCAGTCCCACCCCGCCACCTTCCCCAAACTCCAGTCCTATACCTCTCCCTATACGCAGATTTGGAACCTGTTACTCACCTGTTTCATCTACCTTTCCATCTAACCGTGCAATTAACTAAATATAAATCAAGTGCCAGGCCCTTTGGCAAGCTCTGAGGATCTAGTTGGGAGTAAGACAGATTCCCCAGTTTTCACCCATTCAACAAATACTTATTGCACATCTACTATGTGCCTGGCATGGTGCTGGGCACTGAAGATACACCAGGAAGTAGATCCAGTCCTTCCTTTTCTCCCTCCCGCTCTCTTGGTCATTCATTCATTCATTCACTCACTCTCTCACAAACCTCTGTTTGCAATGACCTGGTTGCACAGCCTGGTGCATTTTGCTGACCCCTTCATTTTTGACAGAACCTGGCGCATGTTTCAGTGCTCAGTGCTGTTTACAGAGCTCGGCAGCAGACTTTGTCACACTTCATGCTGTTTGTAGAGTGCCTCACTGTTGCCAGGCCCTGGCCTGTGACCCCAAAGTTCTGGCTCTAGCAGATAGGCAGACAGACAGATGGACAGACATAGACTACTGAGCTCTACTTTCCAGCCTGCTCTCTCCCACCCTACTTTTTCCCAGAGGCTTGTTGGCACCGTGGATTGCACTTTCAGCTCCCCACCTGCCCGTCTGCAAAGTGGCCTCATTGGTGTGCCATTTTTACTGGTCCAGTCCCAACTACAAGGGGCATGGCTTGGCCATCTACCCCAGTTCCTCTCCATGTCCCCATGGCTCGCAAGTGTCTCCAATTCCAGCTGTCCCAGCTGCCCCGGGCAAGAGGAGGTGTGTGTGGCAAGTCTGCTGGGTTACCTATTAACTCAGCTGTGAGTTGAAGAGCCGATGGGCAGCAGGCAGACTTGAGTCTCCTTTCTGTCCATGAGCTCGGGCCACTGTATCAGGTCCACCCGTGGCTCCAAAATGGTCTCCTGGTCCGTGATAGCAAAGATCCAGGAAATATGATGCGAGGAAGATGAGAGGAAGATGGCGCGAGAGTTCCTGGCCAAGTTCATGAGCACATATGTCATGATGGTGAGTGGGCGGGCAGCACGAAGTGGGTGGGCTCTGCCAGGGCCTTCCATGACCCCCTCCCCATTCTGACCCCATGGGTCACATTGTCCATTCCTTGCCTCTGAGCTGGGAGCCTGGGGAAGCAGCGAGGAAAGTAAGGCGGGGGGGCTTTCTCATCAAGTCTTTTTGGACAGAAAGGGCTCATAATATGTGGGGGTCAAATGAAACCATGCACTGGGGTATCCGGGGCAAGGCTGGAAATGGGGAGAAGGGAAACCCAGAGTAAAGAGATTGAAGAGGCCCAGGTGCAGTGGCTCATGCCTGTAATTCCAGCACTTTGGGAGGCTTAGGCAAGTGGATCACCTGAGGTCAGGAGTTCGAAACCAGCCTGGCCAACATGGTGAAACCCCGTCTCTACTAAAAATACAAAAATTAGCTGGGCATGGTGGCGGACACCTGTAATCTCAGTTATTCAGGAGGCTGAGGCAGGAGAATCGCTTGAGCCCAGGAGGTGGAGGTTGCAGTGAGCTGAGATCACACCATTGCACTCAGCCTGGGTGACAGGAGCAAAACTCTGTCTCAAAAAAAAAAAAAAAAAAGAAAAGAAAAAAGAGAGAGAGATTGAAGAGAAACTTGATGATCAGGCTCTGATAATGAATCCAGAGGGCAATGGGCGATGTTGAAGGCTGGCAAGCAGGGGAGTGACATGATCAGATTTGGATTTTAAAGGTAATTTTGGGTGCAGTGTGGAGCATAAGCAGGACAGGCAAGGCTGGCAAGAAGGAACCAGTTAAGAGGCTGTTTTTGATCTGGGACAGAGAGAGGGTGATGACTGATCTGGGGTTGGAGAAGAAAGCACATGTTTGAGAGGGCTGTGGAAGATGGAATCGGGGAGACTCTGCCAGCAGAACATGTGGGCAAAGCGCCGATGAGCTGTTCTGGAGCACGGGGCCCAGCACAGGGTGAGAGGCAAGATGCCTGTAGGGAAATCCAGGAGATAGTTAAACACAGGCGAGGGGCTGGAGCTCAGGAGAGGCTTGGTCTGGAAGGAAAAAGTTGAAGTTCATCACAACACAGGTGGTGGTTGTCAACACTGTCTAGAAGGAGTGTACAGAAAGAGAAAAGGATGGTTTGAGGACAGAGCCCTGAGGAATGAAGAGGGGCACGCAAAGGAGCCTGAGAAGGAATGGTCAGAGAGGTGGGAGGAGAACCAGAGCCGACTGCATGACAGAGGGGGGCAGTGGTTCCACCAGGAAGAAGCCGTCAGCGGCATGGGCAGCGGCAGATGGGCCACGCAAAGTGAGCACTGGCAAGGGGCCTTAGGGTTTGCCAATGTGGAGGTTGCTGGTAACCTTGACAAGGGCTCTTCTTTAGTGTGTGATTGGGACAGAATCCAGACTGCAGGTGGGATGTGAGGTTGCTCCCTCTCCACCTGCTTCAGCCCTGCCACTTACCCCAGTGAGCCTCTGCCCTTAACATGACTGTAGCCATGTTTATTGCATCTTATGCAGGGTCCAGGGTCTAGAGAAAGAAGGGGCAGCCTCTGGGAAGGGAGGCAAAGGCAGCCAGGTGCATGCTAGAGGAAGGTGGGGTGAGAGAGGCTGTTCGTGTGTGTGGTGGAGCCCATGGAGCTCAAGGGAGAGAGGGAATTGGAACACCAGGTTTCTTAGCCTGACCCTGCCACTGAGTGACCAGTTGCCTTGGGCAGGTCTCTCCCTGGCTTAAAGCCTGACTTCTCACTTATATCGTGTAGAATTAGGCCTTCGTGGGCTTTGGAGCTGTGTTTGAATCCTAGCTCTGTTATCTTCTAGCTGTGCGACTATCCACAAGTATCTTAACTGTTCACAAATTTAGCTTTCTTGTTTTTGAGACAGGGTCTCACTCTGTCTCCTAGGATGGAGTGCAGTGGTACGATCTCAGCTCACTGCAGCCCCCACCTCCCATACTCAAGTGACTCTCTTTCCTCAGCCTCTTGAGTAGCTGGGACTACAGGCATGTGCCACTGTGCTCAGCTAATTTTTCTATTTTTAGTAGAGATGGGGTTTCACCATGTTGGCCAGACTGGTCTCGAACTCCCGAATTCAGGTGACCTTCCTGCCTCGGCCTCCCAAAGTGCTGGGATTGCTGGCGTGAGTCACCTCTCCCGGCCCACAACTTTAGCTTCCTTATTGGTTAACAGGAGGACTTGTGTGAAGAAGGCCAAGTCTCAGCACCCAGTGTGGTACCCATGTATTGGTCCCTTGTTATTAGGACGGGTGCTCTAGCTGCTGTCTCCTCTCTGTCTCTGGCCCTCCCCTACTCCTCTCTTACCTCCCCACCTGCTTTGGCTCCTGAGCTGTGAGGACAGCAGTTGGATCCTGTCCCTCCTTAATCCAGGGCAAAGTAATTCACTTACCACAAGACATTCCAGCCCCATGAGGGCTGTTAACCCTTGGAGCCTCGGAGGCAGGAGGGTGCATCCTCTGAGAGCTGTTAGGGAAATAGGCACCGCCCACATGCTTGATACCTGCCCACATCTGTGTTCCTCTTCCTTTTGTTGAGATTTTCATTGAGCACCTAATGCATCCTGGGCTCTGTGATGCTAAGCCCCTTACGTGCAGCATCTTCCCAAATCCTCGCAATAGCCCTGTGAAGTAGGTACTATTATTATCCCAGTTTCACAGATGGGAAAACTGAGGCTCCTTGAGACTAAGCCTTTTGCCCAAGGTCACACTTTAAGTCAAGATTAAATCCAGTGCAGTCTAATATCACAGTCTTTTTTGTTTTTGTTTTTGTTTTTTTGAGATACAGTCTTGCTTTGTCACAGTGGTGCAATCTCGGCTCACTGCAACCTCTACCTCCTGGGTTCAAGCGATTCTTGCATCTCAGCCTCTGGAGTAGCTGGAATTACAGGTGCATGCCACCATGCCCAGCCAATTTTTGTATTTTTAGGAAAGACAAGGTTTCACCATGTTGTCAAGGCTGGTCTTGAACTCCTGACTTCAAGTGATCCTCCCACCTCGGCCTCCCAAAGTGCTGGGATTACAGGCATGAGTCACCGTGCCCAGCTCAATATCACAGTCTTGACCCTTAACCTCTATGCTCTGTACCTTAGCTTAAATATTGCCAGCTTTTAAAGACTGGCTTGTTAATGCTCCCCCAGCCAGGGTAAAGTCCTCACTTTCAGGTAGTTCAAGATGCCTCTCTCGGCCTCAGTTTCCCCATTTATAGAGTGGGAGAAAAATTCTTGCTGTGCAGATTTGTTGTGAGGATTGAAGACAGTAGCACTTGTAAAAGAACTTTGTGAGGCGTAAGCCTATATCGGATATTGTGGTGTTGTTATTTTTAGTTGCCAGGCTGTGCCAAGAAGTGAGGGCTTTTTTTTTTTTTTTGTAAATATATATATAGGAATCTCAGTGAGTCACCAGGGTGAAGTTTTGCCAAAAAAGCTAGTGTGACCTTGGCCCCATTTATTGCAGCCAGGACAAGGGAAGTGGACTGATCCGTGTTGCAGCTTCCAGGTGTGTTGCCCTTGGAGCTGGCCTCCTGGCTGTGGGGGAGAGTTGGATGGGCTGGGCCACATTCACTGATCAGGGAGAGGAGGGGCTGGAGCCATCCGGGCCCTGGAAAACCAGCCATACACATGAGACACGGGGCAAGGGTTGTAGATCACATGCTACGGGGGCCAAGAGAGCGGCAACTCAGGGCGGTGGGGACTTTGGCTGGCTGCAGAGTGCCAATCTGTGCAAGGCTGTAGAGCTGCTGCCACTCCAGCTGACTGTTGCCATGGAGGGTGGAATGCAGGCCAGTGTTGCTTGAGCTGCTCATTTTTCAAGAGAGACGGAAACTTCTGTTCTTCAAAACCAAGTTATCTAAACAAAATCTGTGCGCTGGATGAATTAGGTGCATGAGTTGCCAGTTGGCAACCCTGACACAAGGAATCATGTGGGGTTCATTCACTCACCCAGTATTTTATTTTATTTATTTTATTTTTTTGAGACAGAGTCTCACCCTGTTGCCCAGGCTGGAGTGCAGTGGTGTGATCTCAGCTCACTGCTCTGCCTCCCGGGTTCAAGTGATTCTCCTGCCTCAGCCTGCCGAGTAGCTGGGATTACAGGCATGTGCCACCACACCTGGCTAATTTTTTGTATCTTTAGTAGAGACGGGGTTTCACCATGTTGGCTAAGCAGGTCTCAAACTCCTGACCTCATGATCGGCCTGCCTCGGTCTCCCAAAGTGCTGGGATTACAGGCGTGAGCCACCACACCTGGCCTATGCTCATCCAGTATTTTTAGCACATGGTATTGGAATGCGGGAAAGGCCATGGGGGCCCCTCTGTTTTCAGACCCTCCATGCCTCCTCCAGTCCCTCTACCTCTTGACCCTGCCAGCCTGTCAACCTGTCCTGACCTCACTCCCCCCTGCACCCCCATCTGTTCCTGTCCTCTCCTGTTGTATCTTATCCTGGATCTGAAGCCAGCCTAGCTCTGGGCTCCCCTGCTCCTGTCCTGGGGCTTCTGAGGGACCCAGTGGGCCCTGCTCAGCTGCCTCTCCCCCACCATATCTGGGCTATTTCACATTTTCTCAGACTTCCCCAAAGCTGCTCTGTACTCTTTTTTTTTTTTAAATCAGCAAATGGCTTGATCTGCTGCTTGATAGGTAAAATAATCAACACTTCCTATGTTCAGCTCACCCTCTTGTCCCTCTTACCACCAGACCCATTAACCACCCGTCTATCCACATATCACCCCTTGGCTGGGGTGGGGTCCTCTCTTTCCTGGAGGACACCTCCACTTCTGCACCAATCCAGCTGTCCAGCCTATTCAGGTACTTTACTCTGTCCTTTTTCTCTGTCCTTTATCTTCAGCCCATCCCTCTCTCAGCCTATAAACATACTGAAGTTTCTCCACTGAAAACAACACAAAATGAAACATCCCTCCCTTCACCCTGTCAGCCCCTTCACGGGATCATGTTCTCTCTTCCCCGCTCCTCAGGCGAATTCTCGAAGAGGAGTCTACACTGGTGCCTTTCAACTCTTTTTTTTTTCTTTTTTTGAGATGGAGTCTTGCTCTGTCGCCCAGTCTGGAGTGCAGTGGTGTGATCTCAGATCACTGCAAGCTCCACCTCCTGGGTTCAAGCAATTCTCCTGTCTCAGCCTCCTGAGTAGCCGGGATTACAGGCAAGCACCACCACGCCTGGCTAATTTTTGTATTATTAGTAGAGACGGGGTTTTGTCATGCTGGTCTTGAACTCCTGACCTAAAGTGATCCATCCACCTCGGCCTTCCAAAGTGCTGGGATTACAGGCATGAGCCACCGCACCCAGCCTGGTCTGCCTTCTTACCTTGTACCCTCTCCTGGGGCCTTCTCCTCTGTCGGCTTTGACTTTGGCCCTTATGTCTACAATTCTTCAGGTTTTCTCCTTTATCAACTCTAGAACAGAGTTCTCCAGGGGAAATACAATACAAGCCATCTGTATAATTTAATTTTTTCTAGTATCCACATTAAAAAGGTAAAAAGCAACAGGTGAAATTAATTTTAATAATTAACCCATATAGCCAAAATCCTATTTCAAGATGCAATCAATGTAAAATTATTAGGATATTCTGGCCAGGCATGGTGGCTCACACCTGTAATCCCAGCACTCTGGGAGGCTGAGGTGAGAGGATTGCTTAAGGCCAGGAGCTCGAGACCAGCCCGGTCAACATAGTGAAACCTCATCTCTACACAAAATAAATTGAAAAACTTAGCTGGGATAGGGCTCAATGGCTCATGCCTGTAATCCCAGCACTTTGGGAGGCCAAGGCAGGCTGATCATCTGAGGTCAGGTGTTTGAGACCAGTCTGGCCAACATCGTGAAACCCTGTCTCTACTAAAAATACAAAAAAATAGTTGGGCATGGTGGCATGCACCTATAATCTCAACTACTCGGGAGGCTAAGGCAGGAGAATCACTTGAACCCGGGAGTTGGAGGTTGCAGTGAGCCGAGATTGCGCCATTGCACTCCGGCTTGGGCGACAGAGCAAGACTGTCTCAAAAAAAAAAAAAAAAAAAATTGGCTGCGTGTCGAGGCACATGCCCATAGTCCCAACTACTTGAGAGGCTGAGGTGGGAGTATCACTTGAGCCCAGGAGATGGAGGCTGCAATGAGCCCTGATCATGGCACTGCACTCCAGCCTGGGTGATAGAGCAAAACCCTATCTCAAGCATCAAACAAACAAACAAATAAAACAGAGGCACAAGAAAGCAAGGCATGCATGGAGCAGCGCAGTTGTTTGGTTTGAGGCCATCTGGCACAGGTAACTGCCTGGATTTAATCCTGGCTCACCATGTACAGGCTGTGTGACCTTGGACAAGCCATTCAAGTTCTCTAAGCTTCAGATTACCCATCTGTCAAGTGGGGGAGAATAATAGTGCTTAACTATCATTTGCAACATCTGAGTTTCTGGCTCGGCCAACGGGGATGGGGAACATAGAGTGAGGAGCAGGTGTGCTGTGAGATGGCGAACCTTCAACAGAGCCTGAGACGTCCGTGGAACACCAGGAGAGTTGCAGTGGGGATTTGCAAATAGGCATCTGGCTCCCCCACGGAGATGACGGGAATTTCAGCGCATCAGGCATAGCTGAGACTGTCTACGTGGTAAAACCATGCCTGAAAAGACCTTTGGAAAATCAGGAGGTTGCTGGAGCCCTTGGAGAGAGCTTTGGTGTCTGTGACATGTGGAAATGGAAGCCAGATTGAGGAGGGGGTGCGAGGGAAGGGGTGAAGCAGCTGGCCAGTGTGTTCTCTCCTGCAGCCTGACTGAAACAGGGAGGGGGCAACCAGGAACCCACAGCTGGAGAAGGACACTGGGCAGGGGTGGGACAGTTTGCTGGGAAGGATGAGACTCCAGTGTGTGGGAACCGATCAATGGGAGGATGGAAGGTATGGGGGAGACGGAGGCCTCTGCAGAGGGAGAGGATAGCACAGGAGCCAGGGCTGAAGGGAACAGTGGCTCTAGACTGAGGGTAATGGGCCTGAAGGTAGGCCCCTTCCCCTGTGAAGGCAGCATTATCTGAGGAGCCGTGAGGGATGGGCAAGAAGCAGCAGCTTGGGAATGCCGCCTGAGGTCAGTGGAAATGAAGCTGAGGGCAAGACAGTTAGGGCCCCACTGTTCCAGCATTGTGGGAATTGCGGTGGAGTGTGTGTGTGTAGGGAGGGGTTCCTGGCAGAGTCAGGCATGGATGGATTTGGAGGTCCCTTGAAGAAACTTCCTTCAGGTCAGCCTGAAGTGTGAGGGACTCTGAGGGGGTGCAATGCATGCCAGCCATCCCCTCCTTGCAGCCCTGCCTCACCCCAAAACTTCAGGTGGGCCTGGGGCTGAGGTGCTTGGATGTTTGTAGTAAGAGCTTCTAACTCTGCTGCTCCACCCGGCTCTCAGTGGCTCAGGTCTGAGAGGCCTCAGCAGGGGCAAGGAGAGGAGGCAGTGAGGAGGGAAGGCTCTGGAGGAAGAGGGCATGGCAGAGGGTCTTCGAGGCAACGCCAGGGAGGCCCAGGGCATGGGGGTGAGGAGCTAGAACTGAGCTCTGAGCCCTCCTCTGAGGTTGGGGCTTCTGGGAAGGCAGCCCCCTTAGAGGCCCTCCCTTGTAGGTATTCGGCCTTGGTTCCGTGGCCCATATGCTTCTAAATAAAACATTTGGGAGCTACCTTGGTGTCAACTTGGGTTTTGGCTTCGGAGTCACCATGGGAGTGCACATGGCAGGCCGCACCTCTGGTGAGTGAGCCCAGGCCCTGCCGGACCGGGCAAGACCAGGTGTCCCCAACAGGCTCTTTCCTGCCCGCCTCAGCCAGCTCCTTTGCCAGCACAGCCAGTGCCTCAGCCTGGCCACCGGGTGGGAGGAAGTCTCCTCTGAAGCCCGTGCCTATGACGTGTCTGCCCCAGATTCTTCCTGGCCCCCCCGACCTACCATTTTCACTGGCTGGGTGATCTTAGGCAAGCCATCGCCTCTGTGTTCCTCAGTTTCCTTAAGAGTGAAAGGAAGACGGTGGCCCCTGCCTCACGGGGTGGTTGTGAGGGCTCAAGGAGAGAACTCTGTCACGGAGCATGCTGTCATACACACTAGCCATCGTTGTTCTCATACTGTTTGTCACTGTTGTTTGTTCTGCTCTCACTCCCTGACACACTTGCCTGCTGCCCGCAGGAGCCCACATGAACGCAGCTGTGAGCCTCACTAACTGTGCACTGGGCCGTGTGCCCTGGAGGAAGTTTCCAGTATATGTGCTGGGGCAGTTCCTGGGCTCCTTCCTGGCAGCTGCCACCATCTACAGTCTCTTCTACAGTGAGCGTCCTGCCCGGGTGTCCGCCTCTGGCCTCAGCTGCCTCCTATGAAATATGGGCAGATTGGACCTCAGTGTCCTGATTTGTAAAAAATAGCTGGGAGAAAAAAGCCTTGGAGGTCTCCCACCCTCTAACCTATAACCTAATTTCCGGGACCCTGGTGGGGCTTAGTTGGGGACAGGTTCGCATGATAGTCTGTGTCTCCACAGCGGCCATTCTCCACTTTTCGGGTGGAGAGCTGATGGTGACCGGTCCCGTTGCTACAGCTGGCATTTTTGCCACCTACCTTCCTGATCACATGACATTGTGGCGGGGCTTCCTGAATGAGGTCAGTGGTCCAGGATGAGTACCCCTCCCCCTGCCCTCCACCCCTCAGGACGGAGCCAGCAGGGAGTCCCTCCGGATAGACAGGACAAGAACTCTGGATGGAGACTGTACCAAGATGTGTCTCTGCTGGTGGGCTTGGGTCTGGGGCACTGCCGAGGTCCTGTGGCTTGGGGAGGGGCCCAGGTGAGCTTCCACAGCATCTGCTCCTCAGGAGTGGCTGACCGGGATGCTCCAGCTGTGTCTCTTCGCCATCGTGGACCAGGAGAACAACCCAGCACTGCCAGGAACACACGCACTGGTGATAGGCATCCTCGTGGTCATCATCAGGGTGTACCATGGCATGAACACAGGATATGCCATCAATCCGTCCCGGGACCTGCCCCCCCGCATCTTCACCTTCATTGCTGGTTGGGGCAAACTGGTCTTCAGGTACTGCCCCTGCCCAGGCCCATTCCTTTGAGATTTTCTGTGGGGCCCCTGTGTGTTGAGGTGTGGGGGGTGATGTGAGGGGCAGCACAGGAGGGTCCTGCAGAGCCCCCAGGTGGCCTGGGGAGCAGGAGTGAGTCCCAACATTTCCCCAGGCCAGTACAGATACAGATCCTGCACCTGCACTGAGTGTCAACCCTGTCCCTGAATCGGGCTGAGGCTGACCAGGGCCCCGGGTTGGGGGTGTTTCCTGGGTTAGCCTGAGGATGACTCCTCTGCTCAACCAGTCTTGGCCCGAGGTGGATGAGGGTGCTGTCCTGGGCATCAGCCCCCTCAGCCGGCCTCTGCCTCTTGCCTGCAGCGATGGGGAGAACTTGTGGTGGGTGCCAGTGGTGGCACCACTTCTGGGTGCCTCTCTAGGTGGCATCATCTACCTGGTCTTCATTGGCTCCACCATCCCACGGGAGCCCCTGAAATTGGAGGACTCTGTGGCATATGAAGACCACGGGATAACCGTATTGCCCAAGATGGGATCTCATGAACCCATGATCTCTCCCCTTACCCTCATCTCCGTGAGCCCTGCCAACAGATCTTCAGTCCACCCTGCCCCACCCTTACATGAATCCATGGCCCTAGAGCACTTCTAAGCAGAGATTAGTTGTGATCCCATCCCTTCCCCAATAAAGAGAAGCTTGTCCCACAGCAGTACCCCCACTTCCTGGGGGCCTCCTGTGGTTGGGCTTCCCTCCTGGGTTCTTCCAGGAGCTCTAGGGCTATGTCTTAGCCCAAGGTGTAGAGGTGAGGCACCTCAAGTCTTTCATGCCCTGGGAACTGGGGTGCCCCAGGGGGAGAATGGGGAAGAGCTGACCTGCGCCCTCAGTAGGAACAAGGTAAGATGAAAGAATGACAGAAACAGAATGAGGGATTTTCAGGCAAGGGGGAAGGAAGGGCAGTTTTGGTGAAAGGACTGTAGCTGACTGGTGGGGGGCTGGCTTTGGAAATACTTTGAGGGGATCCTGAGACTGGACTCTAGACTCTCCCCTGGTTGTTCCCTTCCCCGAGTTCTGGCCGGTTCTTGGACCAGACAAGGCATGGCCCAAGAAGGTAGATCAGAATTTTTTAGCCTTTTTTTCATTAGTGCCTTCCCTAGTATTCTTCCAGATTTTTTTTCTTAATCACATGAAATTTTAATACCACAGATATACTATACATCTGTTTATGTTCTGTATATGTTCTGTGCTTTATACGTAAAAAAGAGTAAGATTTTTTTTCACCTCCCCTTTTAAGAATCAGTTTTAATTCCCTTGAGAATGCTTGTTATAGATTGAAGGCTGGTAAGGGGTTGGGCTCCTCTTTCTTCTTCCTGGTGCCAGAGTGCTCCCACATGAAGGAATAGGAAAGGAAGATGCAAAGAGGGAAATCCTTCGAACACATGAAGACACAGGAAGAGGCCTCTTAGGGCTCCAAGGGCTCCAGGGAAGCAGCTGCAGAGGTTGGGTGGGGTGAGGGGCCAGGATCCACTGACCCTGGGGCCAGGCAGGAATCACTCTGTTGCCTGGGGCTCAGAAGGCAGTATCACCCATGGTTCCTGTCATTGCTCATGTATTTTGCCTTTCAACAATTATTGTGCACCTACTGTGTGCAGGCCCTGCCTGGACACTGGGGATGCGCAGTGGATGCACTGGGCTCTGCCTTTGAGGGTTGCAGTTTAATGGGTGACAGGTAATTATAAGGAAGAAGGTGAGTGCAGAGTGGGAGGCTTGGAGGCTGTGGGGCTTGGGGTGGGGGAGCTCACATCCAGCCTCTGGGCCAAGGCCAGGAGGTTTCCCAGAGGAGGAGACAGAGCAGGGTATTGTGGTGGGGGGTGTCCTTTTTGGGGCTGGGATCTGCACTTTACAGTTTGAGGGGATGGGCAGAGGAGGCTGGGCTTCATTCTGGAGGTGGGGACATGGTGAGGTGAGGTTTAGAAAGCACACCTGAGCCGCAGTGTGTAGGATGCTGGAAATGGTGGAGATGGGCCTGCGAAGAGAGTGCTGGGAAGTGATGACCCAGGAGCAGCAGCCGGGCACCTAACAATGGGTCAGCACCGTGGGCGTGGAGACAAGGGCCGGGATTGATCAATACCCGAGAAGTACAATGTACAGGACTTGGGCTCCATTTGGATGGAGTGGGTGAGGGAGGAGTCAGAAATGGCTTCCGGTTTCCAGCTTGGGCCCGGGGATTGGAGATGTCCCCACTGAGAGTAGGGCACAAATGAGGAAATGGTTTGGAGAGGAAGATGATAAGTTACATCATGGATGTGCTGAGTCTGAGTTGCCTATGGGACTTGGAATGGGGGGTGGCAAAAGGTGTGTGATCTTGAGCAAGATATTCAACTCTTCTGGGCCTTGGTCTTCTCATTTGTAAAACGGTGATAAGAATATTACTTCCCATTTGTGTTGCTGTGAATATTAAATGCGCTACCACATGTAAAATGTTGAGAATCGTTTCTAGCTCAGAGTAAGTGCTCAATAAACACCATTACGCCTTTTATATGGTCTGGAGCTCAGAAGTGGAAGACAGGGTTTTGTGAAGTCATGGCTTTGTGGATGTAGCTAGATTGTGGAGTAATGGCAGGAGGGTCGGGGGCATGGCACAAGGTAGGTGGTCAAGAGACACTGGACACAACCCAAATGTCCATCCACAGGGGAACAGATACATACACTGCTGCGCAATTGCACATAATAGAATCCTCTACAATAGCAAAAATTAAGGCACAACAGACACCTGCAACAACACAGAAAAATTCTGGAAGCATAAAAAGTAATACAGTAGCTGGGTGTGGTGGTTCACACCTGTAATCCCAGCACTTTGGGAGGCCAAGGTGGGTGGATCACGAGGTCAAGAGATCAAGACCATCCTGGCCAACATGGTGAAACCCTGTCTCTACTAAAAATACAAAAATTAGCCGGGTGTTATGGCACACACCTGTAGTCCCAGCTACTCGGGAGGTTGAGGTGGGAGAACTGCTTAAACCTGGGAGGCGGAGGTTGCAGTGAGCCAAGATCACATCACTGCATTCCAGCCTGGCGACAGAGCGAGACTCGGTCTCAAAAAAAAAAAAAGCCTGGTGTAGTTGGGCACCTGTAATCCCAGCTGCTCAAAAGGCTGAGGCAGGAGAGAATCCCTTGAACCCGGGAGGCGGAGGTTGCAGTGAATGGAGATTGTGCCACTGCACTCCAGCCTGGGTGACAGAGTGAGACTGCCTCTCAAAAAAAAAAAAAAAAAGTAATACGGTAGACTATATACAGTGTGACACAATCTTGTAGCTGAAAAATAAGCAAAAACACATTATTTGATATATATATGTATGTAAGAAAACTATTTTAGAAAAAGAAATAATTCCTACAGGCAGATGGGGAAGAACACAGGAGTAGTACAAGCTATTAATAATTTTCTAGTTTTGGAGTTGGACATTTGTGGGTTTATTATATGATTGTGCTTGATAACATATAAATGTGATACATATTGTTTGTATGAGATATATATATATGTGTATATATATATATATATATATATATATATATATATATATATATACACCCACACACAGATAGATGATTGCTGACAAGGAGTTTCTAAAGATCATATATATATTTTTAGGTAAAATAGAATAACATTCTGCTTCTGGTCTTCATAATAAAAGAGAAATCAGGACTAAGAAATCAAGTGTTTATTATATAGAGTTTTAATTTTTATTCTTTTATTTATTGATTTATCTTCTTTAGGCATGTGCAGAGATGAACTCACTAATTGTTCAAAATAAACAATTTGAATTCAAAGCAAAGTATATTTTTGGAATATCAATTATCACTTATTGCAGATAAATGATAATATAAAACACCAACTTTGGAATTTATTTGTTTTACTTCTGTGACTCTCAGCCTTCTTTTTAAAATATAGTGTATGTTTTAGGTAAGTCCAGACAGCAGCCAGCACTGCATTTGGTTTAAAATCCAGCTTTATAACGACTTCATCTTTCAACCAGCCAAAGGGTAGTTACCTTGTGTCTGCCATCGTGCATATGCTCTCAGCTCCTGACTGAGAAAACATGCCTACAAGCACTTCCCTGCCTGAGATTATATTAAAAATCCATACCTGTGCTAGCAGCATGAGTTCAAGTTGATTATTGTTCTAGATCTGTGACTTCCCATTCATCCTCCTAAAGATATAAATGATTGCTTTTCAATAGACCACATACATAGGAATGATTATGAAGGCAAGGTTTAGTAACAATAATATACATAGTACTCTAATGGGATTGAATTGGAACACCCACATTAAACTCTCTTAAAATATATGGAGCAGAACACATGAGAGAAAGCAAAAGAACAAGTGCACACAGCAGAGCTGCGAGTTGCATACTCTGTGCATGCTAATACCATCGCAACAACATCACTAAGGCTTCTGGGTAACGTTTGCCACATCATATTGTGACGTGCATTTGTTTTTATATTTTACCCTAAAAGGCAAAATAACTCTCCATGTGATGACAGAAGGAGCACACACAAAAAAAACCCTCTCAGAAATATTAAAATGGTTGCAGGTAATTCAAATGGTATACTGTTTTAAAAGGTACTTGTCTAAAACTTTAAGTTGGAGAAGCATCTTGGAAGTCATTAGATCCATATATACATTACTTGAATTGTGACCCTAGCTTGACATTTCCATGGTGGGAGACATATTTTATTTAGGAGGCAGCAGTCTATTTAGTTTTTGAGAGCTTAATCGATAGATAGTTCAGATTTTCTACTGAACCAAAATCTAAATGCCTACCCATTGGTTTTCGTAGCCAACGTCAATATCCAACTGCTCTTTCACACAACATGGCTTCAAAGGCTATGTAACTAACATCATGCCACTGCACCTATGTCTTTTTAAAGCCAAGTACCTCTAGTGCCCCTCATTATAGCTCATATTTCAAGGTATCTTTCAGCAACAATGAATTGCATTAATCAAACTCACTTTTTTTGCGTGTGCTTCACTTTATAGCTCTTCACAAATAACACATTTTTCACAAATTGAAGGTTTGTGGCAATCTTGCATCAAGCAAGTCTATTCATTCTATTTTTCCAACAACGTGCTCACCTTGTGTCTCTATTTGACATTTTAGTAATTATCACAACATTTCACATTTTTAAATTATTATTATTATTTTAAATATTTTAACTTTTATTTTAGGTTCATGGGAACGTGTGGAGGTTTGTTCTTTAGGTAAATTCGTGACTCAGGGGTTTGATGTACAGATTATTTTGTCACCTGAGTAGTAAGCATAGTACCCAACAATTTTTTTTTCCCTGAACCTCACCCATCTCTCATCCTCCTCCCTCAAGCACACCCTAGTGTCTATTGTGCTGCTCTTTCTGTCAATGTGTTCTCATTATTTAGCTCCCAGTGATAAGTGAAAATAGGGAGTATTGGGTTTTCTGATCCTGTGTTACTTTGCTAAGGATAATGGCCTCCAAGCTCCATCCATGTTGCCGCAAAGGACAGATCTCATTCTTTTTTATGGCTGCATAGTAATTCATGGTGTATATGTACCGTACTTTCTTTTTCCAGTCTACCACTGATGGGAATTTAAGTTGATTCCTGGGTATCTATTACCTAAATTACATATAAAAGCAGAAAAGAAAAATGACAAGTAGAACATGAAAGTTAAACAGTATCTTTTCAGGTTCAATGACATAAATATTCTTATTATCTAAAGGTATAAAGTCTAATGTTTTATTTCCTATAGTGCTTTTATAGCAAAACACTTTTCAGAATTAGATAAACCAGATTGAGGCCCCAGTCTTACTACCTATTAGCTAGGTAAACTTGAGCTTTGGGATTTTCAGATTCAGATCTTGCAGGCAAATAAGATTTATTTGATATTACTTGAGGATGACAATGTCTATCTTGCAGATTATTATGGTAATGAGTTTATTTATGTGGATTGTTTTAGGATATTTTAAAACTATGTACAGACCTAAAAAAATCCTCATAATCTTTGCAGAACTGGGGAGGCATACAGGCATAATACAACTGTAAGAGTTACTGTTTCTCATGCTTTTGTTTTCTAACTGCTCTGGCCACTGTTTTAGAAGGAAGGGTGAATATATGTAAATATTCCTGAAAAAATAAAGTTTTAGAATATTAAATTATTACATATTTCATTCAGAATTTTTTGAAAGGTAAAACCAATGATTGAACGTAGTTCATGGGATGATCTGGTCCATATTCATCTACCATGATTTAACAAATTTTTTTTCTCATCTATTGATGAGGAAAAAATTAAGGGGAAATGTAGAAATGTAAGGTAAATGATCTGCAAAGAAATACACACAGGAGGTATGTGGGAATGTAACAGTGTAGGTCCGCAGGCAAACTAGGTGAAGGAGGAAGGTGAGGAAGAAAGGCATTTAAGACTTACTCTTTCTGTTTTCTTCTCAATTTTAAAGCCTGATGGAATATAATTTTCTCTACAGTAAATGTTGAATGAAAATCAGTTTTGTATGTGTTAATAATGACTTCACCAAGAGCATTTGAAGCTCTGTCTATCATATTTTGATGCTCAAAATAAAACATTGTTTTTATAGCTTAATAGTCTCATACAGTCAATTATTGCCTCCCCTCCAGACTGACACTTTGAACATTATTATTAACACTGCTGTCCTTAAACCATCATCGGCCTGCAGTGCAGACAATTTATTGATAGCTAATAAAACAGTGTTCAGATGCTGCCTGAGGGCAGGATTCAGAATTGTCATACCAATGCATAACCACATTTGATTTTTTGGAACAAGTTCCATTACTTAAAAATTATGGTTTCATTTTCTTATTTTTATATCTAGATTTTAACATTATATGCATGCCTATATAAGCATTAAATATGTTATTCAGTTATGTGTGAGTGTAACTCAAATTTCTTGTAATGTGTATGTACAGTTTAATATAAGACAGATTATTGATTAGGAAATAGTTAACAATTAATAATAGACATTGGCCAACCTCAATTACTAAACCAGAAAATAAGTTTATTTATTTATTGTATTATTTTTTTATTATACTTTAAGTTTTAGAGTACATGTGCACAATGTGCAGTTTATTTAAATGTATTGACTGTTTTTTAGTCACTACACAAATCATCTAAAAGAAAATACCACAGATGAAACCTGCAGATCCACTAACTAGTTATCAGTTTATCAAGACTGATCGTGTCCACTCCCTTCAGAAATCACATGGATTTGTGCATTATGCAGATCTTTTTTGGTCTTCCCCATCTTTTCCCATCCTGAACTAGAAGTAGAAGCCTATTGCATTTTTATCTGGTACTTTCTTTTGCATTTAGTAGAAATACATACACATACTACCCTAGGCTACTCCGCAGTACATTAAAATTTCCTTTTGCTTTCCAGTAATTTCAAATATCTCAACTAAATATCTCAGTTGAAAAATCAAAGTTTTAATTCTTATCCATCTTTCAACATAAAAACTTTTAATATTGATTATAATGTGTTGTCTGCACTTTTGTTTTTTTTTGTTTTGTTTTGAGACGGAGTTTCACTGTGTTGCCCAGGCTGGAATGCAGTGGCTAGATCTCAGCTCATTGAAATGTCCGAGTTTAAGCAATTCTCCTGCCTTAGCCTCCTCAGTAGCTGGGATTACAGGCAAGCACCACCATGCTCTGCTAATTTTTGTATTTTTAGTAGAGATGGGGTTTCACCATGTTGGCCAGGCTGGTCTCAAACTCCTGACCTCAGGTGATCCTCCCGCCTCGGGCTTCCAAAGTGCTGGGGTTATAGGCGTGAGCCACCCTGTCTGGCCCAGCACTCTTAATAGATATATAAATCTTACTCTATTAATTGAACTAAGAACATCTTTATAATTTTCCAAATATCATTTATAATTATTAAATATTAAAACACATTTATTCTGCTTAACAAACTTTGCATCTCCTCAGAATGCCTAAATATTTTGCCATATGAAGGTTCCAGTGGAAGTTTCAGACAATACATTTTGATGGCAAATGGTGAATTTTCCTATTGAGAAATATGTTGATTACAAGAAATAAGAGAGACAGTAGATTTTCAAAACCTTTTCAAACTATTTCAGATGAATATTCAGAATTATTTTACTTATAGATTGCACTCTTCTAAGGAACTTACATATTCTGACAACTATGTGTTTTTGAAGCAAATTTTGACTGAATTAATAAATGACAGCACAGATCAAAATTTAAAAACTTACAAAATTCTCAATAGATTTCACAATTGTGCAAAGTCCCATGCTTTCTTTTAATATTGTATACTTACTATACTTTTAAGGGGTACTTTTTAACAGTTGATTTATTATCAAATAAACTTTCTATAATTTGACAGAACAACATAAATTCTTGTTTTTCTCCTTTCTACCTAGAACATACATATGATAGTTGAGAAAGACACATATTCTGATCATGAAGAAATAAACACAAGTTAAATATGACTAAGCAGAAAGATGGAAGGACCAGGAACGGTGATGCTAACTTGGAACCACGATGCAGGCTCTAATCTCCTCTACAATCATCCTCCCTTGTGAGAAAAATACGTAAGTCACTTTTAAAATAAATAGAAACCTGAACACACTTCTTAGCTGGTTTAAGTATTTTAAAAACATTGATGAATTAAACACAGAAATATGGGGAAATCTCATTACTTACCTTAAATTTTGAAATTTTCTTTACAGATCATGAGTTACTTAATGCTCTTTCACTCCTGAGTTTACATTGTAAATTAAAGTTATGTCAGCTTTAAAAAATAACCAATTAAAAATAATGATCTAAATTTATACTTTAATTTTAACGAATAGTATTATCTCTTATTATTTACCTCTGATAAAGTCCAAATGTTTGTAGGCCTATAGCTCTGGTTATATACAATGAAATATCTTTCTCATGAGTGTAGACTATCTAGATTATATTTAATGCATTTACTTTTTGAGGAAAAGGAAACCCTTAATAAAATAGCTTCAAATATTTGGTTTTAAAAAATGAGAAAACAAATACATTACAGGACTTTTGGATTTATCACCAACATGTGAAGGGCTCAGAAGTTGTCATTCCTGGCCTTACAATAATAATAATAATAAAAGCTATACAAATTGAAAATCAATGACATTTCCACAGTGGGAGACATATTTTATTTAGGAGGCAGCAGTCTATTTAGTTTTTGAGAGCTTAATCGATAGATAGTTCAGGTTTTCTAGTGAACCAAAATCTAAATGCCTACCCATTGGTTTTGGTAGCCAACGTCAATATCCAACTGCTCTTTCACACAACATGACTTCAAAGGCTATGTAACTAACATCATGTCACTGCACCTATGTCTTTTTAAAGCCAAGTACCTCTAGTGCCCCTCATTATAGCTCATATTTCAAGGTTTTCTGTTCCTGCATTAGTTTGCTGAGGATAATGGCTTTCAGCTCCATCCATGTCCCTGCAAAGGACTTGATCTCATTTCCTTTTATGGCTGCATAGTATTCCATGTTGTATATGTACCACATTTTATTTGCCCAGTCTATCATTGATGGGCATTTGGGTTGATTTCATGTATTAGCTATTGTGAATAGTGCTGCAATGAACACACACATGCATGTATCTTTATAATAAAATGATTTATATTCCTTTGGGTACATACCTAGTAATGGGATTGCTGGGTCAAATGGTATTTCTGGTTCTAGGACTTCGAGGAATTGCCACAGTCTTCCACAATGGTTGAACTAATTTACATTCCTACCAACAGTGTAAAAGCATTCCTATTTCTCTGCAGCCTCAACAGTATCAGTTGTTTCTTGACTTTTTAATAATCACCATTCTGACTAGTGTGAGATGGTATCTCATTGTGGTTTTGATTTGCATTTCTCTAATGATTAGTGATGTTGAACTTTTTTTTTGCATGTTTGTTGGCCACATAAATGTCTTCTTTTGAGAAGTGCCTGTTCGTGTCCTTTGCCCACTGTTTAATAGGATTGTCTGTTTTTTTCTTGTAAATTTGTTTAAGTTCCCTGTAAATTCTGGATATTAGACCTTTGTCGGATGGATAAATAGCAAATTTTTCTCCCATTCTGTAGGTTGTCTGTTCACTGTGATGATAGTTTCTTTTGCTGAGCAGAAGCTCTTTAGTTTAATTAGACCCCATTTGTTAATTTCTGCTTTTGTTGCTATTGTTTTTGGCATTTTTGTCATGAAATCTTTGCCTATGCCTATGTCCTGAATGGTATTGCCTAGATTTTCTTCTAGGGTTTTTATAGTTTTGGATTTTACACTTAAGTCTTTAACCTATCTTGAGCTAATTTTTGTATAACGTGTAAGGAAGGGGGTCCAGTTTCAATTTTCTGCATATGGCTAAAGTTCTTCCATAGTTCTTCCAGCACCATTAATTAAATAGAAAATCCTTTCCCCATTACTTGTGTTTGTCAGGTTTGTTGAAGATCAGATGGTTGTAGCTGTGTGGTCTTATTTCTGAGTTCTCAATTCTGTTCTATTGGTCTATGAGTCTGTTTTTGCACCACCACTATGCTGTTTTGTTTACATGCTGGTTTGGTAGCCTTGTAGTGTAGTTTGAAGTAAGGTAGCATGATCCCCCCAGCTTTGCTATTTTTGCTTAATATTATCTTGGCTCTACAGGCTCTTTTTTGTCCATATGAATTTTAAAACAGATTATTCTAATTCTGTGAAAAATGTCAATGTTAGTATAAGGGGAATAGCATTGAATCTATAAATTACTTTGGGTAGTATGGCCATTTTAATCATATTGATTCTTTCTATCACTTCCCTTCTTAGCTGTATTCCTAGGTATTTTATTCTCTGTAACAATTGTGGAATTGGAGTTCTTTCATGATTTGGCTCTCTGCTTGTCTGTTGTTAGTGTGTAGGAATCCTTGTGATTTTCACACATTGATTTTTTATCCTGAGATTTTGCTGACAATGGGGTTGAGACAATGGGGTTTTCTAGATAAAGGATCATGTCATCTGCAGAGACAATTTGGCTTCCTCTCTTCCTATTTGAAAACCATTTGTTTCTTTCTCTTGCTTAATTGTTCTAGCCAGAACTTCCAATAATATGTTGAATAGGAGTGGTAAGAAAGAGCATCCTTGTCATGTGCCTCTTTTCAATGAAAATGCTCGCAGCTTTTTCCCATTCAGTATGATATGGGTTGTTAGTTTGTCATAAATGGCTCTTAATATTTTGAGGTATGGTCCTTCAATACCTAGTTTATTGAGAGTTTTTAAAATGAAGGGATGTTGAATTTTAACATGAAGTGTTGTTGAAAGGCCTTTTCTGCATCTATTGAGATAATTATGAGGTTTTTATCTTTAGTTCTGTTTATGTAATGGATTACATTTATTGATTTGCATATGTTGAAACAGCCTTGTATCCCGGGGATGAAGCCAACTTGATTGTGGTGGGTAAGCTTTTGGATGTGCTGCTGGATTTGGCTTGCCAGTATTTTATTGAGGATTTTTGCATCGATGTTCATCAGGGATATTGGCCTGAAGTTGTCTTGTTTTGTTGTATCTCTCCCAGGCTTTGGTATCAGGATGATGCTGGCCTCATAACATGAATTAGGGAGGAGTCTCTCCTCTTCAATCATTTGGAATAGTTTCAGAGGAAATAGCACTGGCTCCTCTTTGTACATCTGGTAGAATTCCACCATAATTCCATTTGGTCCTGGTCTTTCATTGGTTGGTAGGCTATATATTACTGCCTTAATTTCAGAACTTGTTATTGGTCTATTCAGGGATTCAACTTCTTCCTGGTTCAATCTTGGGAGTTTATGTGTCCAGGAATTTATCCATTTCTTCTAGATTTTCTAATTTATTTGCATAGAGGTGTTTATAGTATTCTCTGATGGTTGTTTGTATTTCTGTAAACTCAGTGTTCATATCCCCTTTATCATTTTTTATTGTGTCTATTTGATCTTCTCTCTTTTCTTATTAGTGTAGCTAAAAGTCTATTTTGTTAATTTTTTTCAAAAAAACAGTTCCTGGATTTGTTGATTTTTTGAAGGGTTTTTCCTGTCTCAATCTCCTTTAGTTTTGCTCTGATCTTACTTATTTCTTGCCTTCTGCTAGCGTTGGGGTTTGTTTGTTCTTGGTTCTCTAGTTCTTTAAACTGTGATGTTAGGAAGTTGACTTGAGATATTTCTCATGTGGATATTTAGTGCTATACATTTCCCTCAATGCTGTTTTAGCTGTATCCCAGAGATTCTGGGACATTGTCTCTTTGTTCTCATTAGTTTTAAATAACTTCTTGACTTCTGCCTTAATTTCATTTTTTACCCAGTAGTCATTCAGAAGCAGGATGTTACATTTCTATGTAGTTGTGTGGTTTTGAGTGAGTTTCTTAATTTTGAGTTCTAATTTGATTGTACTGTGGTCTGAGAGACTATCAAGATTTTAGTTATTTTGCATTTGCAGAGGAGTGTTTTACTTCCAATTATGTGATCGATTTTAGAGTAAGTGCCATGTAGCTCCAAGATGAATGTATATTCTGTTGTTTTTGAATGGAGAGTTCTGTAGATACTTATCAGGTCCACTTGATCTACAGCTGTTTGAGTCCTGAATATCCTTGTTAACTTTCTGTCTTGATAATTTGTCTAATATTGACAGTGGGGTGTTAAAGTCTCCCACTATTATTATGTGAGAGTCTAAATGTCTTTGTAGATCTCTAGGAACTTGTTTTATGAATCTGGGTCTTCTAAAATTGGGTGCATGTGTATTTAGGATAGTTACCTCTTCTTGATGAACTGAATACTTAACCATTATGTAATTCCCTTCTTTGTCTTTTTTTATCTTTGTTGATTTAAAGCCTGTTTTCTCAAACACTAGAATTGCAACCCCTCCTTTTCCTGCTTTCTGTTTGCTTGGTAAATTTTCCTCCATCTCTTTATTTTGAGCCTATGTGTGTCTTTGCATATGAGATGGTTCACCTGAATACAGCACACTGGTGGGTCTTGACGATCCAGTTTGCCAGTCTTTGTCTTTTAATTGGGACATTCAGTCCATTTACATTTAAGGTTAATATTCTTATGTGTGAATTTGGTCCTGTGATTATGATGCTATCTGGTTATTTTGCAGACTTGTTAATGTTGTTGCTTCATAATATTATTGGTCTGTGTACTTTACTGTGTTTTTGTAGTGGCCGGTAATGGTTTTTCCCTTCCATATTCAGTGCTTCCTTTAGGAGCTCTTGCAAGGCAGTCTTGGTTGTGATGAATTCCCTCAGTATTTGCTTGTCTGAGAAGGATTTTATTTCTTCTTTGCTCATGAAGCTTAGTTTGGCCAGACATGAAATTCTGAGCTGGAAATTCTTTTCTTTAAGACTGTTGACATGAAGTCCTTGCCCATGCCTATGTCCTGAATGGTAATGCCTAGGTTTTCTTCTAGGGTTTTTATGGTTTTAGGTCTAACGTTTAACTCTTTAATCCATCTTGAATTGATTTGTGTATAAGGTGTAAGGAAGGGATCCAGTTTCAGCTTTCTACATATGGCTAGCCAGTTTTCCCAGCACCATTTATTAAATAGGGAATCCTTTCCCCATTGCTTGTTTTTCTCAGGTTTGTCAAAGATCAGATAGTTGTAGATATGTGGCATTATTTCTGAGGGCTCTGTTCTGTTCCATTGATCTATATATCTGTTTTGGTACCAGTACCATGCTGTTTTGGTTACTGTAGCCTTCTAGTATAGTTTGAAGTCAGGTAGTGTGATGCCTCCAGCTTTGTTCTTTTGGCTTAGGATTGACTTGGCAATGCGGGCTCTTTTTTGGTTCCATATGAACTTTAAAGTAGTTTTTTCCAATTCTGTGAAGAAAGTCATTGGTAGCTTGATGGGGATGGCATTGAATGTGTAAATTACCTTGGGCAGTATGGCCATTTTCACGATATTGATTCTTCCTACCCATGAGCATGGAATGTTCTTCCATTTGTTTGTATCCTCTTTTATTTCTTTGAGCAGTGGTTTGTAGTTCTCCTTGAAGAGGTCCTTCACATCCCTTGTAAGTTAGATTCCTAGATATTTTATTCTCTTTGAAGCAATTGTGAATGGGAGTTCACTCATGATTTGGCTCTCTGTTTGTTTGTTGTTGGTGTATAAGAATGCTTGTGATTTTTGTACATTGATTTTGTATCCTGAGACTTTGCTGAAGTTGCTTATCAGCTTAAGGAGATTTTGGGCTGAGACAATGGGGTTTTCTAGATATACAATCATGTCATCTGCAAACAGAGACAATTTGACTTCCTCTTTTCCTAATTGAATACCCTTTATTTCCTTCTCCTGCCTAATTGCCCTGGCCAGAACTTCCAAAACTATGTTGAATAGGAGTGGTGAGAGAGGGCATCCCTGTCTTGTGCCAGTTTTCAAAGGGAATGCTTCCAGTTTTTGCCCATTTAGTATGATATTGGCTGTGGGTTTGTCACAGATAGCTCTTATTATTTTGAAATACATCCCATCAATACCTAATTTATTGAGAGTTTTTAGCATGAAGGGTTGTTGAATTTTGTCAAAGGCTTTTTCTGCATCTATTGAGATAATCATGTGGTTTTTGTCTTTGGCTCTGTTTATATGCTGGATTACATTTATTGATTTGCATATATTGAACCAGCCTTGCATCCCAGGGATGAAGCCCACTTGATCATGGTGGATAAGCTTTTTGATGTGCTGCTGGATTTGTTTTGCCAGTATTTTATTGAGGATTTTTGCATCAATGTTCATCAAGGATATTGGTCTAAAATTCTCTTTTTTTGTTGTGTCTCTGCCTGGCTTTGGTATCAGAATGATGCTGGCCTCATAAAATGAGTTAAAGCAATGGCAACAAAAGACAAAATTGACAAATGGGATCTAATTAAACTAAAGAGCTTCTGCACAGCAAAAGAAACTACCATCAGAGTGAACAGGCAACCTACAAAATGGGAGAAAATTTTCGCAACCTACTCATCTGACAAAGGGCTAATATCCAGAATCTACAATGAACTCAAACAAATTTACAAGAAAAAAAAAACAACCCCATCAAAAAGTGGGCGGAGGACATGAACAGACACTTCTCAAAAGAAGACATTTATGCAGCCAAAAAACACACGAAAAAATGCTCATCATCACTGGCCATCAGAGAAATGCAAATCAAAACCACAATGAGATACCATCTCACACCAGTTAGAATGGCAATCATTAAAAAGTCAGGAAACAACAGGTGCTGGAGAGGATGTGGAGAAATAGGAACACTTTTACACTGTTGGTGGGACTGTAAACTAGTTCAACCATTGTGGAAGTCAGTGTGGCGATTCCTCAGGGATCTAGAAGTGGAAATACCATTTGACCCAGCCATTCCATTACTGGGTATATACCCAAAGGACTATAAATCATGCTGCTATAAAGACACATGCACACATATGTTTATTGCGGCATTATTCACAATAGCAAAGACTTGGAACCAACCCAAATGTCCAACAACGATAGACTGGATTCAGAAAATGTGGCACATATACACCATGGAATACTATGCAGCCATAAAAAATGATGAGTTCATGTCCTTTGTAGGGACATGGATGAAATTGGAAATCATCATTCTCAGTAAACTATCGCAAGAACAAAAAACCAAACACCGCATATTCTCACTCATAGGTGGGAATTGAACAATGAGATCACATGGACACAGGAAGGGGAATATCACACTCTGGGGACTGTTGTGGGGTGGGGGGAGGGGGGAGGGATAGCATTGGGAGATATTCCTAATGCTAGATGACGAGTTAGTGGGTGCAGCGCACCAGCATGGCACATGTATACATATGTAACTAACCTGAACAATGTGCACATGTACCCTAAAACTTAAAGTATAAAAAAAAAAGACTGTTGAATATTAGCCCCCAATTTCTTCTGGCTTATGGGGTTTCTGCTGAGGAGTCCACTGTTATTCTGATGGACTTCCTTTTCTAGGTGACATGGCTCTTAAAAATTTTCCTTCATTTTGACCTTGGAGATACTGCCCATTATGTGTTTTGGGTTGATCTTCTCATGGATCTTACTGAAGTCCTCTGAATTTCCTGAATTTGAATGTTGGCCTGTCTTGCTGGGTTGGGGAATTCTCCTGAATGATTTCCTGAAGTATGTTTTCCAACTTGGTTTCATTCTCCTCATTTCTTTCAGGTACCCCAATCAGTTGTAGGTTTGGTCTTTTTACATAATTCCATAGTTCTCTGATTATTTTTCATTCCTTTTCAGTTTTTTCTCTAATCTTATCTGCCTGTCTTATTTCAGCAAGATAGTCTTTGAGCTCTGAGATTCTTTCCTCTGCTTGGTCTATTCAGTTATTTATGCTTGTGGTTGCATTGTGAAGTTCTGGTGTTGTGTTTTTCAGGTCCATCAGGTCATTTATGTTCCTCTATAAACTGGTTATTCTGGTTTACAGTTCCTATAATGTTTTCATGATTATTAGCTTCTTTGAATTGTTTTAGAATATACTTTAGCTCAGCAAAATTTGTTATTACCCACCTTCTGAAGAATACTTCTGTCAGTTCATCCACCTCAAGCCTCCACCCAGTTCTGTGCCCTTGCTGGAGAGGTGTTGCAATCATTTGGAGGAGAAGAGGCATTCTGGCTTTTTGAGTTTTCAGCATTTTTGCATTGATTCTTTCTCATCTTCATGAGCTTATCTATCTTCGATCTTTGAGGCTGCTGATCTTTGGAAGGGGTTTTTGTGGGGCCATTTTTGTGGATGTTTTTGTTGTTGTTGTTTTCTGTTTGTTTGTTTTCCTTTCAACAGTCAGACCCCTCTTCCTTAGGGCTGCCGCAGTTTGCTGGGGGTCCACTCCAGACCCTATTCACTTGGTCCCTCCCCTACCTGGAGGTGTCACCAGTGGAAGCTGCAGAACAGCAAGGATGACTGCCTGCTCCTTCTTTTTTGAACTCCATCCCAGAGGGGCACTGATGTGATGCCAGCAGGAACACTCCTGTATAAGGTGCCTGGAGACCCCTGTTGGTGGTCTCAATCAGTTAGGGAGTATGTACAGGATCGGGGACCACTTAATAAAGCACTCTGGCTGCCCCTTGGCAGAGAGGGTGCACTGCACTGGAGGGAATCTCCCTTGTCCAGAATGTCCAGACCCTTCAGAGCCAGCAGGCAGGAAAGACTAAGTCTGCTGAACCGCAGAGACTGTGGCTGTCCCTCCCCACAGGAGTTCTGCCCAGGAAGATCAGAGTTCTGTCCATAAACCTCTGGCTGGAGTTGGTGAAATTCCCACAAGGGGGCCCCACCCAATGAATAGGGATGGATCCAGGTTCCACCTAAAAAAGCAGTCTGGCCATGATCTGCCACAGCTGCTGTGCTCCCGGTCTAAACCTCCCTGTCTCCCCAGCACCACCAGGGGAAAACAGCCAACTGATGCCACAGTGATAGCAACCACCCCTTCCCCTGGGAACTCAGTCATCTTAGACAGTCTCCAGTCTGCTGTCACTGGCCACAGCCTGAGCGGTGATGAGAGTCTGCACAGCTCTGTGCTTGGCACCCAAGGCCCTGGTGGTGTGGGCTCACAAGGGGATCTCTTGATCTGTGAGTTGCACAGATCCATGGAAAAAGCATGGTTCCTCAGGAAAGGGAGCACAATCACTCACTGCCTCCCTTGACTGGGGGTGGGAGTGCCCCTTGCCCCATGCAGCTCCCAAGTGAGGCATTGCTCCACCCTGCTTTTCCTTGCTCCCTGTGGGTCAGGCCAATCACCTTGTCACTCCCAGTGAGAGAATCTGGATACCTCAGATGAAGGTGCAGAATTCACTCGCCATTTTTGTTCTTCTAGATGGGAGTCACAGACCACAGCTGCTTCTAATTGGCCATCTTGGCACCTCCTCATTTAACCTTCTTTTCTCATCTAAAGGGGATAAAGGATGAAACTGTCCCAAAGAAAAGTTTATAAACCAATTAAGGGAGAAAATAAAATTCAACTAGGCTTGCAGAATAATCAGTGGCAATCATGAAATCCACTTCCCAATTTGGCCTACTTCCTTGTAGCTAGTTACTTCTTACTCCCCCAAGATAGTGTAGCCCTTGTCACAAGAATGTGTTCCTTTTCTTTTCTATAGATAAGATCTAAGGCACATGAGATGATACGCTTTCTGTTTGAGTTTCTCCTTTATGTTACGCATACTGATAAAATTGTTGACGCCAGTTGATCTGAAGGTCCCAGCAAGGAGCCGACTCACAGAAGAATGCAGTTTTCACATTGTGATGATTTAATCTTCCTTGACCTGAGCAATTGACAACCCCAATTCTCCAGAACCTCACCCGCCACAATCCCCTTAAAAACCCTGGTCCAGAACCCCTCAAGCAGACAGATTTGAAGCTTGAGGATTCCTTCATCTCTTTGCCCAATGGCATTGTGATTATTAAACTCTTTTTCTGCTGGAAATTATGATGTCTCAGTGTATTGGTCTATTGCTGCTCAGTGGGCATATGAATCTGGCAGTCCTGTAACAGGGACAAAAGATAAACTACTGGCAAAACACTCGTAAAAGTCATAACCTAAGACATAGGCCCACTGAAAGGCGGATATTCAATCAGAGCACTATAGAACATATTTCTCTGCTCATACCATAAAATTTAAACCAACATGACTCCAATATAAGGAGACAGACAAAAGAGCTATAAGAAACAGACACTGTTTGAAGATGAGTACTTAAGGAAACCTAAAGTTAAGGGAGGAGACAAAAACAAGGACACTAGAGGAATTTGAAACCTTCAGAAACTTGAGCTATAACAAATATTAAATGCAGTTCAACTCCAAGACAGATTAACATATATCCTCAATTAACTTTATCTCAGTATCAATTTATCTCAGCATCAATTTATCTCAATATCTATTATGGATACCACATGTCTGGCGCTCAATAATGGCAACAAAATTACAAAACATGGTAAAAGGCAAGAAAAAAATTAACAATCTGAAGAGACAGGATGATCATCAGAACAAGACTCAGTGATGATGATGCATATTTTGGAAATAGCAATCAAGAAATTTACATAACTATGATTAAGATGTTAAGGACACTAGTGGAAAATGTAGAAAATATTCAATAAAAGATGATTAGTATAAGCAGAGAGATGAAAATTCTAACAAAGAACCAAAATAAAAGGCTAGAAATTAAAATAACGCCAATAGATTTTTTAAAAATGCTTTCAATGGTTTCATTAGTAGACCAGACATGTTTGGGGAAAGAATTGGTGAAACTAAAGATAGGTCAAAAATACATTTTAAAACAAAGTGCCAAGAAAAAATAAACGGAAAAAAAAAAGTGAAGGACATCAAGGACCCGCTGGGCAGTTTCTAAAGTTGTACAAAATGGGAAACTGGAATAGCAGAAAGACGAGAAAGAGAGAAATGAGGAGAATCTATCTAAATGAGTAATGGTCAAGAAATTTTAAAGCATAATGACATGAAACAAACAACCGGTCCAGGAAGCTCAGAGAATACAATTCATGACAAACAACAAAAATACAGCACCAGACATAGCATTTCCTATATGTAGAATAAAAGAAAATAAAATAAATCAATAAATAGACAAAGAGAAAATCTTGACAGAATCTGGAATGAAAACTACATTCCTTGTAGAGAAAAAAGAGCAAGGATTTCAGCCCACTTCCAGTAAGAAACCAGGCAAGAAAGAAGAGAGTTGCGGGAAATGTTAAGGAATAAATGCACCAACTTAGAATTCTACATCTAGCAAAATTATACTTCAAAAGCAGAGGGGAAATCAGAATTTACCAGACAATAAAACACTAACAGAATATATTGCCAGAAAACTTTCCTGCAAATGTGTTAAAAGAGGTTATTCATGGAGGAGAAGAGTGATATAGATCAGAAACCTGTATTTACAATAAGAAAGCAAGTATGTTGAAAAAGGAAAAAAAATGTTTTATTTTTCTTATTGTAAGTCTTTTTAAACTACATGTTCGTTTAAAGTAATATTAGTAAATGTTTTGGGCAATTACAACATGTGGGTAAGTGAAATGCCTGATGGTTATGTTACAAAAGATATGAAGGATGAACTGGGACTATTCTATTAACGTGTCCAGAATTGGTGGGTTCTTGGTCTCACTGACTTCAAGAACGAAGCTGCAGACCCTAGTGGTGAGTGTTACAGTTCTTAAAGATGGTGTGTCCGGAATTTGTTCTTTCTGATGTTCGGACGTGTTCGGAGTTTCTTCCTTCTGGTGGGTTTGTGGTCTTGCTGGCTTCAGGAGTGAAGCTGCAGACCTTCGCAGTGAGTGTTACAGCTCTTAAGGCAGCACGTCTGGAGTTATTCATTCCTCTCAGTGGGTTCCTGGTCTCACCGGCCTCAGGAGTGAAGCTGCAGACCTTCCCGGTGGTTGTCACAGCTCATAAAGGCAGTGTGGACCCAAAGAGTGTGCAGCAAGATTTACTGCAAACAGCAAAAACACAAACCCTCCACACCACGGAAACGGACCCAAGCGGGTTATCACTGTCCCTTGTGGCAGCCTGCTTTTATTCCCTCACCTGACCCCACCCACATCCTGCTGATTGGTCCATTTTGCAGAGAGCTGATTGGCCTGTTTTGACAGGGTGCTGATTGGTGCGTTTACAAACCTTGAGCTAGACACAGAGTGCTGATTGGCGCATATACAATCCTCCAGCTAGACACAAAAGTTCTCCAAGACCCCACCTCACTGGGGAGCCCAGCTGGCTTGCCTAGCAGATCCCGCGCTGGGGCCGCTGGGGGAGCTGCCCGCCAGTCCCACGCCAGGCGCCTGCACTAGTCAGCCCTTGGGTGGTTGATGGGACCAGGCGCCACAAAGCAGGGGGCAGTGCCGTTGGGGAGACTCCCACCGGCCGCTGGGGAGCCCACGGGGGAAGGCGCGGGCGGGGAAAGGCTCGGGCATGGTGGGCTGCAGGTCCCGGGCCCTGCCCCACAGCGAGGCGGCTGAGGCCTGGCAAGAATTCGAGCCTAGAGCGGGCGGGCTGGCAGTGATGCGGAACTCAGCGCATACTCTGCAGCGGCTGGCCCTGGGTGCTAAGCCCCTCACTGCCCAGGGTCTGTGGCGCCAGCCTGACCGCTCTGAGTGCAGGGCCGCCCCCGCGTGTGCGGCGCAGCCTCAGTTCCCGCCTGTGCCTCTCCCTCCACACCTCCCCGCAAGCAGAGGGAGCATGCTCCGGCCTTGGCCAGCCCACAGACGGGCTCCCACAGTGCAGCGGTGGGGCGAAGGGCTCCTCAAGCGCGGCCAGAGTGGACGTCCAGGCCGAGGAGACACGGAGAGCGAGCAAGGGCTGCCAGCACGCTGTAACTTCTTATTAAGGTACCTGCACTATATGTGAACTGGTGGAGTGCTATTTGAAGGTGATCTTAGATTAGTAACAAATGTGTATTGGATACTCTGGGGAACCACTAGAATAGTTGAAAAAGAAAGTATGCTTTACATGTAATGAGTGACATTAGGTTTGATAATGGATTTTTAGATATAATATTAATACGAAAAGTTCTAGCTATAAAAGAAAAAATGATGTTAGAGTTTGTTAAATTTAAAATGGAATTTTCTGCTCTGTGAAAGACTCCAGAGAGTTAAAAGACAAGCCACAAACTAGAAGAAAATATCTGTAAACCATATATCTAATAAAGTATTGGTATCTAAACATACAAATAACTCTGAAAACTGAATAAGAAAGCAAACAAGCCAATTACAAATGTGCATAGAATCTGAAAAGACACCTCACCCCTGCCCCCGAAATACCCATGGCAACTGGCATATAAAAATATGCTCAGTATTTTTTTTCTTTAGAGAAACACAAATTAAAACAATTGTGATACTACCACACATTAGTTAAAATGGCTTAAATCCATGAACCGAAGTATTACAAATTCTGGTGAAAATGTAGAGCAATAGTAGCTGTTTGCTGAAGGGAATTTTAAAAATGGTACTGCACGCTGGAAGACAGATTGGCAGTTTCTTACAAATCTAAATATCGTCTCACCACGCACTTCAGCTATCATTCTTCTAGGTATTTATCCCAATGATGTGACAATTTATATCACATAAAAATGTGAGTGTTTATCAGAGCTCTTTTTTATAATTATCAAAAATGGACAGCAACCTACATGGCCTTAAACCTTAAGTAAGTGAATTGATATACTGGTACATCCAGAAAAAAGAAATAAATATAAATCTACAGGAATAAATACATGAATATTCAATATTTATTGCTCTGTGAAAGAAATTGGTCAGCAAATGCCTCGTATTATATATTGCTAAATATATGACATGGTAGAAAAGGCAAAACAATATAGTATAAAAGATTAGTGCTTCCAGAGGTGAGGGGAGAGGAAGTAGGGTTAAATATGTGAAACATGAAAACAAATTTTTTACTGTACTGAAACTATTTTATATGATATTGTAATGGTGGACATAACATTATGCATTTCTCAAAATCCGTAAGAGTTTTTGAGCTTGAGGAGGAAACATTAATTTATATAACTTTTAAAAAAAACTATCCTTTAGGAAGTAGAGGGATTGCAAGATGGAATGCAGAGTGTGACAAAATATTATAACTGTATTGAAAATATATGAAACAACCTCACTGAGATGGGTGGGAAAAAATGCGTTGAAATAAGTAATTTCAGAAATGAGAGGAGACTGTAAAATTAAAGGTGAAAGGAAGTGTATACAAGCACAGTGCTCCAGTTAATAAAGTTGTTTCTCATGGAAGTATGGTGTAACGTTTCTGACATCACCGTATATGTACACTGTGAATGAACAATTAAGAAAGTGAGTGATGAATGGTGGCCGGGAACAAGTAGAGGGTTATTCTTGATATTCTCCTCAAATTTCTTTAATTAATTAGTAAATGAATTAGCAAGTCCCTAATGGCCTTTAGAGTCTGCTGAAGGAGATGAATAAACAGCTGACTATTAATATAGCATAATATAATATAGTGTTTAATATAAACAAAGGGCTATGTGAGTGTGGACCAAGAGACTATTATTTTCACCTTTTATCTAAAACCTTGAAAAAGTTGGCACTTCTACCTTACCTTAGATAGTAAGCAAAAGTTAGATAAGTTGAAATGACACATTTTTCATGCAGAAAATATTACACACGAAGACATGGAGGTTCAAAATTTCCAGGTTATAGGGAAATTGCAGGATGCTGAAAAATGCAGGTTGCTGAAAGGAATGCAGTATGATGCAAGATATTTGATGTTGGGCAAAAATAATTTTAACTTCTATTATACAGTCTGTAGAGAATGGGCAACATTGAGGGGTAACAGAAGCCTTTGTTACCCCATCTTTGAAAAATAAATAATAATAATTATCCCATTTAGATATTAAAGATTAAATAGGTTAGTGAATTCAAAGTATGCCATATAAATTCTGGCAAATAATATGTTCAAAATAAATTGTAACTTTGATTATTAAAACATGTATACACACACGTACATATATATGTATGTGTATATGTATGTGTATGTGTGTGTGTATAACAGAATTAATTGTATATCATAGTTGAAGTAAAAGAATGGGAAGAAAAAATACTTTAATGGGCCTCCAAATAGGACAAGACTATATACATATAGTCTTGCATATATATATATATATATACACACACATCTAAATAAACTGTATCAATACACACACACACACATATTCTCAGTACATGGGGATAATCAGAAAGATGGCTACAAAAATACAACCCTCTTAGTTTTATATAACCCTTTATAAATATATAAAACTAAGAGAAGAAAGAATGCCTTCTGAAGCACTGTAAACTAACCTAAGGGGGGTAAAGTCAGAGGATTTTACTATGTTGGAACTGAATTTATTAACATAGCTATAGAAAGAGTCTGTCAATGAAAGGAGAATTAGTTGCCTATGGAAACTGAGCTACAGATGAATCTTTAAGGCATAAATCTCTTTTCCACCTAAGTGGAAGTCCAATTCCTGAGGCAGGAAGTCTGGGCAAGTGAAATTGCCAGTTAAGTTGGTAAGCCTTCCTACAATAAAAATAAATGCATGTGCACATTTATATTAGCTTGATGGTGTTAAATATTCTAATCATTGAACTTTATTTTTCTGATCTAATACATACCCAGCTATCATGTGACTACATTTTGTTTTCCCATACAGATGTGCGTTTGGGTGGAAAGTATGTACTGTTTATGCTGAAGTAAGAATTTTATTTTATATAACATAGTTCTTGTTATAAATTAATAAACTAACATTCTGATTGTTTATAGTCATTGTGTGTTGAATCGGGTCTCCAAAATGAAATACTAATCCCAATACTTGTGAATGTGACCTTATTTGGAAATAGGTTATTGCAGATGTTATTTTGAAACAGGGTCATATTGAAATGGGATGGGCCCTAATTCAATGACTGGTTTCTTTATAAAGAAAGAAAATATGGACACAGAGAGACATAAAGAAATATAAGGAAGAAGGCCATGTAATGACAGAGGCAGACAGTGGGGTGATGCATGCACAAGTCAAGGAACACCAAAAATTGCTGGCAACCACCAGAAACTAGAAGACACACATGGAACGGACTTTAAGTCAGAACTTTTCAGAAGGAACCAATCTTGCCAACACCTTGATTTCAGGCTTCTAGCTTACAGAGCTGTGAGACAACAAATGTTTGTTTTTTTTTTTTAAGCCACCTATATTGTGATACTTTGTTATGGCAGCCCTAGAAAGCTAATACAATAGTCAAAAGGATATAAATTATCTCCCTGTAGCCTAAAACTTTAAAATAATTTTTTTTTTCCCAGAGGCCTTTTCTTTCATTTGTTGGTTTTAGTTTCTATACAATAGATCAAACATCTTCACTAATAGTTTTCTTAGACATTATTTTTGGAAACATTTTTAAAGGACTCATGGAAATCTATAATCTATGCTGATTGACTACTTCCATGTAAAGAATTTGATATTTTTCATAGTTACTACTGGCTGTTACTGTGCTATTCCTAATTGTCTTGAATGTTGCATATGTAGCATGAAATCCCAATTTTTATTGAAGTACGATATATATATATATAACTCTTCTATGGTTGTCTTCAAGCTGGAGCCTATTTGTTAGCACTGCAGGGCATCGTGTGTGTGTGTGTGTGTGTGTGTGTGTGTGTGTGTGTGTGTGTGGTAGAAGCTACTATATGAGAAATGTGGAGATACGCCTTTAGTTCAATTCTTTAGCTGCTAACTAATTTAGAGTTCTTACTGTTGTTTTAGTCAGGAAATAATGAAATATATCATCAATAAAAAGTTAAAGGAACAAGATGAATCAGTCCAATGGGAGAATCTAAATCTTCCCAGGGATCTGTCCAAATCCATAAAAAGAGTACCATTTGATAGGTAACAGCAGGGGATTAAAGACTGAAGCAGTTTGCTGCAGGCTATGAATGACCTGATCCCTTAATCCATCTGTCTTTTTATATGAGAATGTTATGCTAATTAGCTGAGTAAATTGTTTCCTGATGATATTAATTTTGTGCCTTTCTGTTATTCTAGGCTTTGACTTTCACTGTGATAAAAATATACGAAGGGGCATTTTCAATTTAGATGGTTCCTATCCTGATAAATTCCAACACAGCAATGTTGTGGGGGAAACATGTATAAATAGCAAACTTAATCAATCCCGAGGATAGACATAGATGACTTTAGCTTCCTATATAATCATTCCCTTTAGCTTCTAAAGCATTACATTAACACACTTGAAATGTTAAAACATAATTCAAGGAGAATTTTAGGAAATGCAATTTTCATTGCCCCATTTTCTTTGGAGAAAATCAAGACTTGAATTCATTAACATGGAGGAAGTAATGGAACAGATAGTCGTGATGTGAAATCCTGCAGGTGTTGTGTTCTGATAATGCATATCCTTTACAAGTTTGGGTAAATTATTTGCTTTGCATATAAATTAACTCCAAAGCTGAATCAACATTAGAATAATAAAAATGTAGAGAATATTTTTATTCCAAGGAAGCAAAGATTTATAGCAAAATATATCCAAATCCTAGATGCAATTTCAGGAGGATAGATTTAAAAATATTTATCATACTCCAAAAAGAAAAAGGAGAAAGAAAAAAGGAAAAATACATACAATTGAGAGAAAGGAGGAATGGTTTTGGAAAATACAATATTATGTTATTATTGTTACATTAGGGAGAAAATAATTGAGAATCGATACATTTGTTTTTCAGTATAAAAACAAAAAGATGGCACTTATTTAACAATTCTTAAGTGATGTCTTCTGAGCTCCACTTTATTGGGTATGTATTGTTCCTAAGCTAAAATCTAATTTCAAAATATTACGTATTACAGGTGTAGTGTTGTCTTGGTCTGTGTTGTGTTGCTGTAACAACACCTGAGACTGGGTAATTTATAAAGAAAAAAAGGTTTATTTAGCTTATGGTTCTGGTGGCTGGAAAGTCCAAGACTATGGCATTGGCATCTGTTGAGCTTCTGATGAGAGCCACATGCTATGTCACAGCAAGGCAGAGAAACAAAATGGAAATCAGGCAAATCATTGCTTTATAAAAGAGGCAACTTTCTTTAGAATGACCAGCTCTTATGAGAACTAATCCATTATCATGAAAAATAACCCAGTTTCACCAGAAAGTTATTAATTTGTCTTAATGACCTAATCACCTCTTCAAAGAACGATCTCCTAACACCTTACATGGGAAATTAAATTTTGACATGAATTTTGGAGAGAATAACCCATGTCCAAACTATAGCAAGGGTAAAGACCCCAAATTTACTTAGACATGGGGATTAATAATCATGTGTCGTTGCCAATAAACGTTTTCTTTCTTTTGCACTTCCAAAGAATTTTTTCACCACCTATTTTCCTCTATGTTTTTCTTTCTCTAGTATTTCTTTCTCTAAAAATTTGTGCTCGTGTAAATAATTTGCAAATGCAACTTTTTTCTTCTTTGAAATGATAGCTAAATTCAAATTACTTTTATCTTATTCAAAATTCAGAGAAAAATTCAGAAGTGACCTATTAGATGTTTGAGAATGTGCTATACTACATCAGGTGCACAAGTTCCTGTGAATAAGAAGCAAAAAAGCTAGCACTTTCCCTACTTCTGTTTTTAAAGAATAAGCTTATCAATGGATATTGAGGAAAAAAACTACTGGTAATATTTAAATGGTAAAATGGGTATGGTAAAATAATATTACGAGCATTTTTTCAAGTAATACATTTTGAACTTTAAGTTTTCTTCTGTTAATTTTATCTGTTTATAGGAGTAATCCTGTTTTGTTCACTTCAGTATATTCACTATTCCTTTCCCTTACAGTCAAGCATTGGACATGGCCTTGATATTGCTGGTGATTACCCATAGAGCTCAATGTTCATCTTTTGTTTCTAAATTCCAAAAGCAAAGTTGATTCTAAAGGATGATAATAATCATTAATAATTCATAGAATACCCAACTCCAAAACAGAATCAGGAATGCTATAGACAATAATAAGCACACATTAAACCAACTGGGCACTGTGCCCAGAAAATCAGCCAAGTACACACAATAGGCAAGAAAAGAGCTTGTATGTGTGTAAGGAGAAATAAGAAAGGGAAAGCAACGCATAAAAGGCTTCCAAACAGAACAACCAGGGAGTCAACAGATTTTCAAACTTTCACAGAAACCAGAAATATTTTGAAGTCATTTCTGCTGGGTCTACTAACTGTCTTACAATGTAAGATAGCCATGAACCCCAATGGAAGAAGTAGAAGCAAATTGAGTATATTCTAAAAAATTCAAAATTTGTAGGCATATTAAGTTTTAGGTTTTACAAGCTTACAAGTGGTGAATTACAAGACCACAATATAGGTGTAGGTTTATGGGCTTTTTTATTTGTGATGATGACTTAAACCAACCTTCTTTTTTCTATATGATTTGTTGAAATTAAAGCACTGTACATGTGATTATGACAAGGAACAAGGAGTCTCATGTATATGTTTTCTTATATTATAAAACAGCACCTGAACTTTTTCATGTCAGATCTCTGCTGGCAAATTAAAGGAGGAAAATACCCCCATGAACTGAAGAAACCTATGGAAGTTAGCTTATTGAAATGCTGCCAGAGGCTTCATTTAGAGGGGTTTTTATAGGTAGTAGGTCTAAAGGATACTAGCAAACAAAAAATGCTAACAACATTTTTTTTCCCAAGGGAGAAGTACCCCACCAAATTTATTCCATGTAGGCCTGAGGGTTGGATACTAATTTACTTACCATGTATTTATTATAAAACACTACTTAGGCAGGTGTGACCAAGCTATAATTGGCAAGAAACCAGGGATGTACATTTGCTTTTGTTATTATAGCTAAACTAGAAGAAGACTAAATCCTTTAATAGGAATAAAAAGTTAACACAATGATTTAATTTAGTTCTACTTAGTATAGATAACATTTGGTAGAGCTTCAGGAACTTACTATATATTTTAGCCCTTAATTTGTAATGAAAGCATTGACAGTATAAATCTTGGGATAAACTAGGTAAATAAATTACTTTTTTTGAATATGAATGTTCTTTTTTATTTATCCTGGAGTCATATTCAGTGAAGTGAGAAATGCATTTTGTTAAACTGACACCTAGATTTCAGGGAGAATATACTCAAATGATAAAATATTTATATCAAGAAAATAACTTTTACTCCATGACATTATATTATTTATCAGATATGAGTGTCATTAAAATTCATTTTCAAACTGTGTAAAAGAGAATGACTCCTATGCCAATGTTTTCTTACAGTGTGAAATCTTATATTGATAAAAGTACAATATTTATATATGAAATTTTGGAAAGCTTTGAGCATAAAGTTCTCAGTCACATCATAACATTTTCTCTGACAGTGTGTGTGTCTTAGGGTAGGGAAAGAGAGTGGTTGAATGTCCATATCTTACTAACTAAGATGGTATGCCCACTGTCTTAACAATTTACTTCCTGTATTGACTCGACTAATTAGGCTGCCATAACTTTATTTCTTAATTGTTAATATGTTGGGGAAATTATCAATAAGTATAGAAAATGACAAAGTTATTGTTTCTGAAAAACTATGAAAAAGAGGATAGCCTTACTTATGCAGAGCCTATTAAAAAGAGAGTACTTTTTCTTCTTAAAATGCATAGCTTGACCAGCTCCATTTAACACTGTTTTTTAAAAGACGTGTTAATATCCTAATCGTATAAATGAATTCAGTCATGACTAGTTGAGTCAAAGAGATTTAAAAATTATTTGAACTGTTTTATCAAATTTCTAGCTCATTGTTTAGTGCTAGATATTCACAAAACAAATAGTTAAGTTCCTAAGATTATTGTTGCAAACTGTGGGAACTAAAAGTCTTTAATTACATTACTTTGAAAGCAAAAAGTGATTTCCATGCAAAATATTTTAAAGGATTTCTACCTAATGTCAAATTTTCTCATCTATTCATTTAATAAGCATTGATTAAATATCCGTTGTGTCTTAAAAATCAATGACGAATAACATCCTAAACTTCAGCAAGCATATGGTTGAACACTAAATAAAGAACAAAAACCAAGGTAATTACAGTAGAGTGTTTCAGTGATATATTACCACCAAGAACAGAGAGCTATAAAAATCACTGGAAGAACATCTAACTGAATCTTTGGGGAGTGAAGAAAAGCTTTCTTTGGAAAATAACCTCTAATCTCATATCTAAAGGACCAGTAGGAGTTATCCATAAAAAGGAGAAAGAAAATTCCAGGTAGTTGAAACGGCTTGCTGAATTGCAAGGGCACAGATTACTAAAATGTTTAGTAATACTCATGGTAATTTTGTTTATATTTTTGAAACAGATATCATGTAGTTAACACAATAGGTCAAATCAGGACCTTTGGTACACATAACCCTTTTTCTGTAAGGTGTTGATAGGTATCATTTGAATAAAATTGGCGATATTTAGTGTTTATTGGTGTTTGGGAAAAACATGTGCTTCCTAAAATTTTAGCATATTTTCCTATATGATTTCTCATTAATAAATTAATGCACAAAGCAAATATCCAGGAGGTGTTAATAGTAAGCAGTAATTTCCAAAATTGCGTGACCAAGAAACTTTTTACTCATAGAATAACTGAAATACTTTTCTCAGGAATATACTTTGAGAAATATTGCTTAAATACATGTGGAAAAAAAGTGTTCTAAATCCAAGTTCTTTATGGTGGAGATTACTGAAAAAGTATGGGAGAAAATTATACATTTTGATAGAAAATCGTAAGAGTTGAATGGTGTTTGCCCAAAAGGTTTGTCCACCCAGAATCTCACAGTCTGACCTCAATTGTAATAAGCATCTTTGAAGATGTAATAAGGTAATAAAGTGTGCTCATCCTCTATTACAATAAATTCTAAATCTAATGAGTGTCCTTATAAGAGATAGAATAACAGAAAGACACAGAAAAAGCGGGGAGGCATGTGAAGACAGAGTCAGAGAGACTGGAAAGACAAAAACCGCTAAGAATTGCTGACAGCATGGAATGGGTTTTTTCTGGGTCTCCAGTGGAAACCAATACTGCCAACACATTCATTTGTCTTCTGGCCTCCAGACCTGTGAGAGAATCAATTTCTGTTGTTTTAAGTCATCAAGTTTGTTGTAATTTGTTATGACAACCCTGGAAACCTAATACAACAATGTGATGCTTTAGAACCAGTTGTGTTCGAACAAATTTAAGCCTTAACTCATATTCTTACCAAACAGTCCCCAATGAATTATGGATGTCCTTTGATTTCATGTCCTTGCATTATCCTCCCAACCAGACAATAGATTAGCCTTGTGAATTAGTTGAGCCATGAGAATGCAGCTAAAAGAGACACTGTATAAGTTTCAGTCCTAGGCTTAAGGAAGCTTTATAGCTTTTGTTTACTCTGTCTTTTACCTTGAGCCACTGTGCAAAGATGTCTAGGTTAGCGTCCTTGTGGATGAGACACCTTATGATGAAAAAGACCAGGAGGAATGAAAGACTGGGAAGATAGAGAGGAAGACCCAGTTAGTTTCTAGTCATTCCAGCACAACATATGAATGGGGCCAGCTAGGATCCTCCAGTCCCTATGGAGCTGCCTCTAAATACAAACATATTAAATAGTCCAGCAGAAGACACCATCTAGGGAAGAGATGAGCCACCCAGCTGAGTTCAGCCCAGATTGAAGAATCATGAGCAGGTCCATCTGTGCTACTTAGCTGTTTTAAGCTGCTATGTTTAGACTGGTTTATTATGCAGCAATAGAAAGCTGTAACCATCTAATATGATTATCAAGTATGTGTTTTTAAAACAAAGACAAAAAAGATGAACAGATATAAGATTAGGTTGTGTGCTGTAGCAAAGGTGGATTTGACCTTTTTTTAAGTTAAGAATTTTGATAATCTACCATACATTTTTAAATTCTTTCTTGCATTAACTTTATCTCTGGATAAAAAATTCAGGCCACCTGTAAGTAAATAGAAACAGTAGGCATAAATACACAAAAGGAAAGTTATATTAAAATTCTGCAGAAATGTAACAAGAATAAAAAACCTGAACTGGATTTTTAGGATGTTCTACACTCAGCTTTTATGAGAAACAGACAAATGAAAATCTCATGCCAAGGATTTGTTTTAAAAGGCTGTATAATAGGTAGACCATTGACTAACACATGTTTTACCACCTTTATCTTCAGAGTACTGCAGACAAATGATATTCATAATGACTCTACACGATATTGAAATGGTATCTGAATATTAACAACTAAATTCTGACCAGTTATGATTTAAAACATTTAGCTATTTATTGATTGTTATTTTTTTAAAAACTTGGAATGTGCATTATATGTATATTTAACTATAAAGTCACTGAACATTTAATTAACATATGTCCTGTTTTTCAATCATTACTAGGAGTAATCTTTATAGAAATACAAGTAGCAACCATTACCACAAATGAATTCTCATAAGAAACAGTTATTCAAGTCTTTTTCTCTCTCTCTTTGTCAAACGCATGTGCACACACACACACACACACACACTTTGTATGCCTGTGGATTGTGTGAGAGAGAGAATGAGACTGTAAATACAGAATTATATCAGAATTCTTGTAGCAAATAAGCCATCAGGAAAATTGAGCCAACTTAGTCTTGGTCTTGTGAAGGACATTTTCTCTTTTCTGACCTAGTCTTTTCTATTAAGTGAAAGATGTCACACAATGACCACTCATCTATTTTTGATGGATACATGAATTGTACATTACATGGAAAGAAGAGAGAAAATAATCCTAATTTTACATAATGTACAGGTTAGAAAGCCTGATACAGACTAATATAAAATTAATGCTTTGAATAAATTTGTTTATACTATTGCTCTGTTAGAGTGTTGCTACTTTTGGTTTGTTTTTCAATTGTTTTTCCAATATGTATTTAGTTTGATTTTTAATAATCTTCTCTCTCTCTTTTTTCTTTTCTTCTCCTTTACCTCTTGCTCCTCTTCCTTATTCTCCTTGCCTTCCTCCTCAGTCTCCTCATCCTCATCTTCCTCCTCATCCTCTTTCTTTGTTTTCATTACAAAATAAAATAAGCAATCAGAAAAGTTCATACAGATATTGTTACTTATCTTTAGGGACCTGGATCTAACTTAGTGCTGTTGCTTCTGTTTCTTCTCTTTTGTCCTCCTCTTCTTTTTCTCCTTTGTGTCCTGTTTTACTTTTTAAAAATAGATGCCACAACTCTGATTTTTAATCTGATTGTGTAAATGATCCTTAATAGTAAAATCAATTTTAATATCTTATAAAACAGAAGCACAGCAAAGCATTTTGCAGAATTTACCATAAAGTAAATAATAACCATTCCTAGTATGATAATGCTGCAACTATTTTTCTTTCATCCTCTGCAACATTTTTATCTGACACAGTCTCTGCTGTTTCCAAGTTCAACGTCCTGCAGCAAGCCTTGCCAGCAATACAGAATACTTTCAATTAGTAGTTCTCTACTTCTCTGGTCGCTAAGCAACTGACCTGTGGTGAAGAATACATAATGATCTGCATAGACACCTTAGAGCAATAGAAAGTATAAGCTTCACAAGTTTCATTTGCTCTCTTGTGTTGATGTTACAACAACCAGTTAAATGCATGGAAATATTTGATAGTAGTTTGCTATAATAAACTTTAATAAAGATTAGAGGAAGCCTTGGAGAAAGGTAGAAATAAACACAACATAAAATATTGTATTTGTCATTTGTTCATGTATGTCATTTTATTGTTTATAGGGAGGGCAAGCAATCAGGTTAATATTTTATTAAATGTTTATATTCTAGCTACTGTTTAAGACAGAATTCATCAAGTAGCAGAAGTGATGGAAGGGCCAAGGGGAAGAAAGATGGACAAAACCTGAAAATTGAAAGTGCAATAAAATGAAAATTACAAATGAAAACCAGTATGCCTGAGATATACATGACTGTTTAGTAGAGTGTCTTCATGTGGGTTAAAGAAGAAAAGGAATTACCAGCTGGAATCAGCAGAACAGATTTAGCACTTGACCCTTGGATACTTTTCATTCTATTTATCTATCATATTTTTATTGGTTTGTATTCCATTGACTACTATATGCACCGACCCTCAGCAAATTCATTCAATAGAGAGGAGAGATTATATCTCCACTGTATCAGTGGAGCTGCTTAGGAACATTTCTCCCGCTTCTTGTATGTATTTTGTCCTATTTGTACATTGTATTTTATGAGCTGCTTTAGAATAGTAGAATAACTTTCCTTTATATGGTATAGAACTTTTGATATATCTCAAAGAAATTTTTAAAAAATGATCAATTGAAATGTATGTTCTCATACTGTATGTGCAAATATCAGTAGAACAAACACTAAGGATTAATGAAAATGAAAATCCTAATATATTAAACTTAGAAAAATAGACTAAATATTTACTGAAAAGAAACAGATAACCAAAATTTCGTGATACACAATGAAAAGCCTTGAGACATTAAAGAGGACTTTCACTGTCTTTGATGATGTCATCTTTTACATATTAAGTTCTTCTAGCATGGTAACTAGAACTAAACTTTTAACTTCCTTTTAAACCACACACTGAATGCATCTGTGAAAAAGACCTGCATACTACAAGATAACTTTAATTACATATCTTCTGTGGGGTCCGTGCTTTTAGTTTAGTATAGGTTTATGCAAAGTGATACTATTGGTAATGTGTAATTTAAACACACACACAAACTAACAGGCCCTGCCGCCTATCAATGTCTGGGTGATATCAGAGAAGGCCGTGTGGGAATCTAGAACTTTCTTCTCTGCCAGGTAGTTACAATGTGCCCCGTCCTTCTCCACCAGATTCCTTAGGTGTCAAAGTAAACTAAGTGAGAAGGTGGAACTTTCACCATCATCTAGTGGTAAAAAGGTCCAAGGCCTCCTGATGTTTGCCTTCCCTTCAGTGTAGGCCATAGTGGGAGCAGAAACAAGAAAAAAATCCCCCACTCTCCAAAGGTGGTTGAGCAGGGATAAATTTTTATCACCACCTAGCAATAACAAGGCACCCCCACTTTCACCATGTGTGGTGTCACAGGAGGTTTATTTCCAAGAGTTAAAATACAGAGCCTCATAGCATAATATCCAAATTACCCTAGATACGTTGAAAATTACTCAGCATGTCAAGCACCAGAAAAAAATCTCATCTTGAATGAGATAACACATGCCAACACAGTGATAACACATAAATTAGATTTATTCACAAGGATTTTAAAGTCACCACCATAAACATGTTTTAATGAGCAATTGCGAATATGCTGGAACAAATGAAACAATGGAAAGCTTTACAAAGAAATAGAAGATGCCAAGAGACAAATAGAAATTTTGGCACTGAAAAATATAATTGAAACTTTAAAAAATACTTGATGGCTCAGTAGGGTAATGGAGGAAATAGAGAAAAGAATAAGTGAACTTGAAAATAGGACATTAAAAATTTACTAATCCAAAGACCAGAGGGAATATAGACTGAAAATGAAAAAAAAAAAAAAAAAAAAAGAACAGAGCCTCAAGGACCTATAAGACTATAGCAAAAAATCTACTATTCATGTCACCAGAGTCCTAGAAGGAAAGGCAAAAGTGGGTTGGGCTAAAAATATATTTGAAAAAATAATGTCCAAAACGTTTTCGAGTTTGGCAAAAGACATACAACTACAGATTCAAGAAATGAGAAAATCTAAAATGGGACAGACACAAAAAAATCAACAAAGAAACAGGGCAATTTCAGAAAACAGCAGAAGAAAAAATCTTGGAAACAGTGAGGTAAAACAATGCTTCATCTCTCCAGAAGAAAAACAATTTGAATGACAATGATTTCCTGTCAGAAATAATGGTGGCCAAAAGGAAGTGATATATTTCTCAAGTACTGCAAAACAAGAACTGTCAATCCAGTATTCTGTATTAGGCAAAAATGTCCTTTAGAAATGAAGGAGAATTAAATAAATTCTCAGAAGAAGAAAAATTAAGAATTGGTTGCAAACAGACCTACCCTAAAGAAAAGCAAAAAGTTCTTGAAACATAAAATGAATAAGGGGCCTGAAATCATCAGAAAAATGTAAGAGTAACAGAAAGGCAAAAATATGAGTAAGTACAACAGATTTTTCTTCTTGAGTTTTCTAAATTATGTTTGACTTTTGAATCAAAAACTGTAACATCGAAATGGTTATCAATACCTAAATGAAAAATTTTAAAAATTATATAAACAAGGATGGGTAAAGAGACTTCCAACAAGATAAGATTTTTACACTTCACTAGAAGTGTTAGATATTTTGATAGTGGTAGTGGTCACAAGAATTTACACATGTAATAAAATGACAGATGTATGCATACACATTTTTTCAATGTCAATTTCTTGGTTTTAATGTTTTACTGTAGCTATAAAAAAAAAATGTAACCACTGGGGAATCTAGGTGAAGAGTATGAGAGACCTCTCTGTACTATATTTGCAACCTTCTGTAAATCTATAATAATTTCAAATCAACAGTTAAAAAATAAAAATATATCTAATAGACCAATAGTTTCATATGGAGGGCAGAATGATTTTAAAAAAATGAGATATTTTGTTTATGCATACCTGTAAAGGCATCCATGAACGGTATTATTAACATTTGAAATTATGTAAGTCCAATGCTGCAGGAACATGGGCATACTATAGCTTATTTTAGATGCTTTAGAAAGCCAAAGTCATCTCTGGTAAGTTCTACATTGATGATAATAACCTGAGAGACTTCTCAGTCTCCAAAATTGCACTATTTCTAAAATATAAGTAAATATTCCCTTCATCCTAAATCTTTCAAAGTTTAAGAATGTCATTGATAGTCTTTGCTTTAGAGGAAAATACAGAGATCAAGAAAAAAGGTCTGGAAAAATGAAAAAATAATTTTAAAAGCTTCCTCAGAGAGAAAGAGTTTCAGACGGATACAGTTTAACTATATTAACTCAGCCATGAATTTCTTACTTCTCTTCTAGTACCGGTTACTCTTTTGCTGAATGAATCTACCTTATGAACACAAGTTAAAAAAAATGTACCCATGATAAGTAAAACATTATTAAATACAGCTATTTTTATAAAAGTTTCAAGTCAAAAATGGATCCATTTCTGTTCTTCTTCTTACAGGGAGTTGCTTATTCCCCATCCTTCATTAAAAGGGCCAAAAAGTATACTCATCTGTAGTAGAGAATATGCATAATGTTTATTAACTCATGCTTATTATAATATTAACACATTATCTGCCACTCCAAGAATGTGGGCATATTTAGAAAATGTTCAATATGGTATCTATAAATTATTCTATGGCAGACTTTGATTTAATTCTTTTCATCTTCATTTAATAACAGTGGAGTGGTTCTTAATATCATATTTTCATTATTTGCATGTCCTTTGCAAGAAGGCTTGGGAACCTATTTACCCCAAAATAAGTTCCAAACAGGTCAGACTTCTAATTGTTCATACAAATAACTAAGGATTAGAAATATAGATGCTATACAATTCTAATATAAATCTTTTGGTATTAACCCCTCACCATTGAAAACACATTAACTGACTTGTAGTGTTTGATCATTTCCACACAAAGAAGATGGATCACTGTATGTCTCTTAATATCTACATAGCCTTAAACCAGAAGATAGAACATGATTGTTCAGGAGAGTCACATGATTTCAATCAAATTATTGAAAGTATGTCATTTGAGCAGAAATAACACAATGTGCAGAATACGGCAAGTGAATTTTCTTTTCGCCAAATAGTGTGAGCTAAATCATGTTTACTATAGTGATAATATTAATTATTCTATGGATATGCTAGAATTATTCTACTGATCTTATGTTGTTTTCTGACCACATTTTCCAAAACACTTTAAACTGTGCTTTACCCTTTCATACCCTTTTATTGTTTACTGATTCATTCCACAAATTAAAATTAACTAATTGGTACTAATGTGTACTGAAACAAAAAACAATAATGTCACTTCAGATTGTGACTGATTCTTAAAATATTCTCCATGGTCTTCGTGGCCTAATGGTTTTAAGTTATACACACAGTATTTCACTTAAAATATTATGGAAAGCAGCATCTGGAGCTTTAAACAAGTTACTTAGTTTATATCTGTAGTTTATAAATCATGATGTGTTAAACTTTATTATGATCTTACAATTTGAATTTAATTCTTTTATAATGTCTCTAGGCTCTCCTGATGATAGATAGATAGATAGATAGATAGATAGATAGATAATTTTCCTTTTAGAAAACCTCTTGCTTTTCTCATATCCCACTCTCTGACAGCATTATATTCAAGAGCAAGGGTGGGAAATGTGTTGACTGCCAAGGTATTAGATAGCTAGGTTAAATGCCAAAATTAAACTGATATAAAAAGTAATACAGAAACAAGAAAAAAAAGTGGAAAATGAAAACATAACCTTGTAAAGTTTTTATTCTAATATACAGGTATGTTAATGAAAATAATAGAATCGTTTCTGAAAGACATAAATGGACAGTATTGTTTTATGAATACATCAGTAAGAAAATACTTTAACAGGAACGGGAAATTCTCCAGGTTCAGTGTGAGATTTCCACCTATAATTTTCATTTGGCTGGCGAGACTGACTTGCGTTACTTGAGTTATGCTATTTTAAAAGTATTTGTCACCAGTATGTATCCCTTCTTTGATATTTTTCCTCCCTTCTACAGTGACTTTTAAAATCCAAATCTAATCAAGCTGCCACTGAGGACATATTGTTATATTAAACATACAAATGTTTAAGCCTTATTAAATACAGACTGGGTTTCAGTAAATCAGAAACGGTTAAAAAAAAAAAAAAAAAAGCCAGGCGCGGTGGCTCACGCCTGTAATCCCAGAATTTTGGGAGGCCGAGGCGGGCGGATCACGAGGTCAGGAGATTGAGACCATTGTGGCTAACATGGTGAAACCCCAGCTCTACTAAAAATACAAAAAAATAGCCAGGCCTGGTGGCGGGCACCTGTAATCCCAGCTACTCTGGAGGCTGAGGCAGGAGAATGGCGTGAACGCGGGAGGCAGAGCTTGCAGTAAGCGGAGATCGCGCCACTGCACTCCAGCCTGGGCGACAGAGCAAGACTCCGTCTCAAAAAAAAAAAAAAAAAAAGTGGATGAAAAATAGTATAAAAGGAATTACTCCCTAATTATTTATATTGTGCTAAATAAAATTCCCAGTTCCACAACCAAAATGTAATGACTGCACCATTTTTCACTTTTTCTAGATGTGGTCAGAGACTTTAAATGAGAGAAATGATACATGCATATACTTGGAGAGTAATAGGTATTGCTGAATAATATAAAGTTTGAGAATACACTTTTGCTTAAAACGTAAAATTGGTGATTTATATTATTTTATTTTTAAATGTAGAAATAGCTAAAGTATAAATTTTGTATAATGCAAGTGCTTTTCCTAGGTTTTAGTTTTGTTTTAATTTAGGAGTAAGGGTAAAGAAGCTATTTATAAATAGTACTAAGTCTGTGTGTTCTTTTCTCTAAATACATCTTGATGTGTTACGAAGATCAAATGTTCTGAAAAAGCAAATTTCCTCTAAACCTGAGTCCTCTCTTTCACTAGCAGAGAGAAAAAGTCTCTGCTAAAGTTACTGGATGAAAACAGAAACTGTATATTTGACTCTATTAAAGGAAAAAATAAAATGTTTTTTATAATATTAAGTCAACTTGAAATAAAAGAAAAAAGTTAGCTATTCAGGCCTGTCCCTAACATTTGTGGAAGTTCAGAAGTATTGCAAATCTAGACCCACATATTAATGACTACATATTTATAAGACATCAATCAAGCTTAAGAACTGTTAAAGTGTATTGAAATTCCTACATTGACAACTTCATAACAACTTAAAAAATTAAATTGAAATCTGCATTCTTGGACTGCCAGGAGAGGTCCACAATGGAATGTGAGGATTGGAAAGAGGCCCCAGGTCATAGCCAATTTCATTCTCTTTCCACCCCTCTTTCCATCTTGCTGGATGAGGGGTTTGTTACATCCAAGATACTGCAGCCTATTTGTCCAGCATCTCCTCATGAGACATCCCTTTGACCAAGGGTTGTACACACCAGTCCACCTTCAAAAAGGCTGGTGTAGGGAATGGCCTTGAATAGACCTTGAAAGCAATCTTAGGACCTTTTATTTCTCCTAAAGAGGAATCCAGAGTCTTGAGTATTGGTACATTGGCATAGCACATGGATGGGCATGAGTCTTGTTTCACATGAGCACATTCACTTGTTTTGTGGACTCATCGCCACTTCCCCTTCTACTCTCCTTCCCAGCCCCCATGGGAGGAAGGTGAAAGTGGTTTGTGGTTCACTCTAAAGGGCTGGCCTAGAACCTGAGTTCCTCTTCCCTTTAGTCTAAGTTTAGCACTGCAACTATCTTGTTCCACTGTTCACATTTACCACGAAATGGGTCAAACATACAAAGAGAGCCTAAAGACACTTTTAATACATATTCGTAAATGAAAGTTTATTAATAAAATTGAAGGAGACGTATCAACACATAGTCACTTCTTTTCTAGAAAACACTCCCTACTTTATAGAATTGCTATGTGTATAGTTCCTCAGTAAGTGCTATGTGTGAACAGAAGATGTAGAATACAGATCTTTTATCTTCAGGTCACTTAATATCCAAGTCTGAACATAAGAAACATAAACACAAAAAAGTAACTTTCAGAAAAGTGCTATGCAATATATATTGGGGATCTTCTAAGGAGGGAGATGCCATCGTGGACTATGATGATCAAAGAAAGGTTAATAGAGCTTCCTATTATGTGATACTCTTCAATAATATGGGGAAGATGAAAAATGCATTATGGATTATTCAAAAGACAAGTGCAAATTTGGTGATAAGCATAGAAAACATTCAGAAGTATAGAATGCATACATTAGACAGAATAATGTGATTGTTTCAGAATATTTGAATATACAATTAGAAGTAAATGTTGGGACAAATTATGAAGGATTTAGAATATTAGATGTGAGAATTTGAACTTTATTCATAAATAATCAAAAAAGAAAATGATTGTAAATTGCTCAAAAAAGGGCTATCCATCAAAAGGAGAGTCAGGGAATAACATGTATTTTGTGCATTCAAAAAAAAAATCAAAAGACTGTCTTCCACTTTCACCTTTTAAGTGTAAGGGTCACAGAAGGTAAAGAAAGTAGAAATAAATTTGAGAAATCATTGAAAAAAAGAATTTAAGTATATGAGTAGGCATAGGCAAACCAAGGTAATGACAATGTCTGTGACCACAAATTTTTGATCAGTTTGACAATAGTACCTTTGACATAAATAGGAGAAACTTGAGTCAGGAACTTTGTCCTTTACTCATAGCACCTGGCATAAGAGCTGGAGCCAGTTTTATGTTTTTGCTAGTTTTTGTTTGTTTTCTTTATACATAAAACAAAGTAAAAAATGAAAATGGCCAGAAAAAAGTTGGAAATTTGAGACTGGATCTCAGGATAGGTATTATGATGTATTTTTAGTATACTCATTTACATAGAGATGATGGTTTACACTATTTTGAGAAAAAGTAATGGTTTAGATGGAAAGTTAAAAATCAAGAAAAGAAATAAAGCATTAGACAGAAACAAAAATATTCAGGATAGGTTCATGTTATAGAAGCCTTAAAAGGACAGGTTGATAGATTTTAAAAATATTACAGTAAATAATGATGTTAGAAAGAAATTGATCACAAATTTCTCACCAAACATGCTATCACAATCAGATTACCTCAAACCAGAATGTAATCAAAACCATTGCCTCTTTCTCTAACAACAAAGATTACTATTTACTACTGCTGTAGCATTTTGATACCTTCAGGTCTATAGGAAAGGAATAAAACACCAAATGATTCTCAGCACAAAAATGGATAATGAATATCCATTTATTGTTATTAAAATAATGGGCATGATTATGCTAATAGGTAACATTCTTTCTTTAGTATGAAATTGCATTGTATTGTGTCTAAGAAAAAGTGTTGGTTGTTTTTGCAAAGTATAATTCAGGAGATTAATTGTATTCACCAATCCACAGTTTTCACTAATGAGAAGTGAACTGGAATTTGAAAGCACATACACTTTTCCCCTTAAACAATTGCCCACTCCATTTTGCAAGCTGAGAAATGGAGAAAGAGGGATATCAATCTAGGTAAAGTCTGAGGTGCTACTTGTATTAACAGGACTCAGGAATCAAAAATCTGTACTTCCTCCCATAAAAAGGGGTGTGATTTTTCCCTGTAGACAGTGAGTTAATGTGGCTGCCTTCAAAGGCAAACAGACTTCAATGTGACTAGAAGAAAAGGACAATGGAGTGTCCCCAAAAGAGAGGCATGTTTTTTAATGAATGAAAAACCAGAGATACTTTACAAAATAATAGAATAGCATGGCTTAGTTATTTTCATTACATTACAATACATTTAGTAGACTGTCCTGTCCTTCAGAAATAAGAGCCACAGTGAAATGACAATAATACATAGTAACCCTTTACTATGAGCCTAACACTAAAAATATTATTTTGTATTTATTGTTTTATTTAATTTTCACAAAAATATAATGCCTATACTACCAATACACACTTTTGCAGATGAGAAAATTGTATCAGAAGATGTAATGAAATTCTTCAACTTTACATACCTAATAACTGCTAAGATTGGCATTTGAATATACTTTGTCTGATTTTAGAGATTGTGACCTTAACCACTATGTCATACTTCCTTCCTGAAGTGTTACTGATTCACATAGACACACAAATCTGGGCTTGGCTAGGTTCCTTTTCCCAAAGAGAGAGATGGGAAAATCTACTCCTTAAATGGACTATCAAACCAAACTTTAGATATCTTAGTCACAGAATACTATAAGTTAGTATATTTTATTTCTTAGTAGGTTATTAATGAAAAATTTTAGGAAGAAACTTAAAGCATAACAACACATTGTTACAATAGGGAGTTAGAGATGAAATATTTTTAATAAAGGAAGGACTATGTAATAGTAGCCATATCAAGGAGGTCTTTTGGAATGGACTAACATGAGTCTGCATTAGTACAGGAGGAACCACAGAGGATTAACAGCTTAAAGCTGATAGAGAATATTTGATGCTAGAGATAAAAGGAATTGATTGAATTTAAAGTTCTAGTGGAAAAGTTAGTCTGGACAATGGGCACTGAAAATTCAAGAATGGGTGATTTCAAATGTAGGAAAATGTGAGCTAGGATGATTTATAGGTACATAAAGGAGCTCTTTATAGATGGTCACTGATGGTTTCAATAAAGTAGAAATGAGTTCATTTGTCAAGAATAAAGAAATTGGGACCATTGGGAGCTTAAGGTGATTAGGCAAAGCTTGGCATAGATGCTGACAGAAGTGTATCAGAAACGTAACAGGTCCAATCTTACTGATCTACCTTTATTGATTCATTTGTTTACTTGTTCATTCACTTTTTATTTAACAAAGAATTTAGTCATAACATTTTATATTATATTTATGTATATATTTAAATTATATTTATATTTATTTAGCTCCCCACCCCACAACAGGCCCCAGTGTGTGATGTTCCCCTGCCTGTGTCCATGTGTTCTCGTTTTTCAACTCCCACTTATGAGTGAGAACATGCGATATTTGTTTTTCTGTTCCTGTGTATTTTTGCTGAGAATGATGGTTTCCCACTTCATCTGTGTCCCCAGGAAGGACATGAACTAATCCTTTTTATGGTTGCATAGTATTCCATGGTGTATATGTTTCACATTTTCTTTATCCAGTCTGTCATTGATGAGCATTTTTGTTGGTCCCAAGTCTTTGCTATTGTGAATACTGCTGCAGTAAACATACATGTGCATGTGTCTTTATAGTAGAATGATTTATAATCCTGTGGGTATATACCCAGTAAAGGGATTCCTGGGTCAAATGATATATCTGGTTCTAGATCCTTGAGGAATCACCACATTGTCTTCCACAATGGTTGAACTAATATACATTCCCACCAACAGTGTAAAAGCGTTCCTATTTCTCCACATCCTCTCCAGCATCTGTTGTTTCCTAACTTTTTAATGATATCCATTCTAACTGGCTTATGCCAGATGGCATCTCATTGTGGTTTTTTTTAATTATACTTTAAGTTTTAGGGTATATGTGCACAACATGCAGGTTTGTTACATATGTATACATGTGCCATATTGGTGAGCTGCGCCCATTAACTCATCATTTAACATTAGGTATATCTCCTAATGCTATCCCTCGTCCCTCCCCCCACCCCACGACAGGCCCCGGTGTGTGATGCTCCCCTTCCTGTGTCCATGTGTTCTCATTGTTCAATTCCCACCTATGAGTGAGAACATGCAGTGTTTGTTTTTCTGTCCTTGCGATAGTTTGCTGAGAATGATGGTTTCCAGCTTCATCCATGTCCCTACAAAGGACATGAATTCATCATTTTTATCTCATTGTGGTTTTGATTTGCATTTTTGTAAAGCCCAGTGTTGAATTTTTTTCATGTGTTTTTTGGCCACATAAATGTCTTCTTTTGAGAAGTGTCTGTTAGTATGCTTCGCTCACTTTTTGATGGGATTGTTTTTTTTCTTCTTGTAAATTTGTTTAAGTTCCTTGTAGATTCTGGATATTAGCCCTTTGTCAGATGGGTAGATTGCAAAAAATTTCTCCCATTCTTTAGGTTGCCTGTTCACTCTGATGATAGTTTCTTTTGCTGTGCAGAAGCTTTTTAGTTTAATCAGATCTCATTTGTCAATTTTGATTGTTATTGCTTTTGGTGTTTTAGTCATGAAGTCTTTGCCCATGTCTATGTCCTGAATGGTATTGACTAGGCTTCCTTCTAGGGTTTTAATGTTTTAGGTCTTATGTTTAAGTCTTCAATGCAGCTTGAGTCAATTTTTGTATAAGGTGTTAAGGAAGGGGTCCAGTTTCAGTTTTCTGTATATGGCTAGCTAGTTTCCCAACACCATTTATTAAATAGGGAATACTTTTCCCATTACTTGTTTTTGTCAGGTTTGTCAAAGATCAGATGGTTGTAGATGTGTGGCATTATTTCTGAGGCCTCTGTTCTGTTCCATTGGTCTATATATCCATTTTGGTACCAGTACCATGCTGTTTTGGTTACTGTAGCCTTGCAGGGGTTGCAAACCTAATATCTGATAAAACAGACTTTAAAGCAACAAAAGTGAAAAAAGACAAAGAAGGGCATTACATAATGGTAAATGGATCAATGCAACAAGGAGTGCCAACGATTATATATATATATATATATATATACACCCAATATAGGAGCACCCAGATTGATAAAGCAAATTCTTAGAGACCTACAAAGAGACTTAGACTCCCACACAATAATAGTGGGAGACTTTAACACCCCACTGTCAATATTAGACAGATCAAGAAGACAGAAAATTAACAAGGATATTTAGGACTTGAACTCAGCTCTGGACCAAGCATACCTAGTAGACATTTACAGAACTCTCCACCCCAAATCGACAGAATATGCATTCTTCTCAGTACCACATCACACTTACTCTAAAATCGACCACATAATTGGAAGTAAAACACTCCTCAGCAAATGCAAAAGAATGGAAATAATAACAAACAGTCTCTCAGACCACAGTGCAATCAAATTAGAACTCAGGATTAAGAAACTCACTCAAAACTGCACAATTACATGGAAACTGAACAAGCTGCTCCTGAGTGACTACTGGGTAAATAATGAAATTAAGGCAGAAAGAAATAAGATCTTTGAAAATAATGAGAACAAAGACACAACATACCAGAATCTCTGGGACACAGCTAAGGCAATGTTTAGAGGGAAATTTATAGCACTAAGTGTCCACAGGAGAAAGCAGGAAAGATCTAAAGTTGACACCCTAACATCACAATTAAAAGAACTAGAGAAGCAAGAGCAAACAAATTCAAAAGCTAGCAGAAGACAAGAAACAACTAAGAGCAGAACTGAAGGAGATAGAGACATGAAAACTCCTTCAAAAAATCAATGAATCCAGGAGGGGTTTTTTTGAACAGATCAACAAAATAGATAGACCACTACCCAGACTAATAAAGAAGAAAAGAGAGAAGACTCAAATAGACACAATAAAAAATGATAAAGGGGATATCACTACTGATCCCCCAGAAATACAAACTACCATCAGAGAATACTATAAAAACCTTTACACAAATAAACTAGAAAATCTAGAAAAAATTTATAAATTCCTGGACACATCCACTCTCCCAAGACTAAACCAAGAAGAAGTCAAATCCCTGAATAGATCAATAACAAGTTCTGAAATTGAGGCAGTAATTATAGCCTACCAACCAAAAAAAAAGGCCCAGGACCAGACGGATTCACAGCCAAATTCTACCAGAGGTACAAAGAGGAACTGGTATCATTCCTTCTGAAATTATTCCAAACAATAGAAAAAGAGGTACTCCTCCCTAACTCATTTTATGTAGTCATCCTCTTTTTAAAGTACATTCTTATCATGATAAATCAAATAGGAATTTCTTGATTTATTTTATCTAATTATTTTATCTTGCCCTAATCTCTAATCTCTATTTTTATTTCCTTCTGCTTCTCCCTCTTACTTCAATTGCATTCATGTGTTTGTGGTAGACCCTTGAATATGCATTTTTTGAAAACTATAAAATTTTGTGGTTGTTTTTGAGTTATATGTTGTATATATAGTTTTTACTTTTGTAAATCCAACACTATATTATTAAGACCTATTCTTGTTATCGTGTGTATCTTTACCTCATTTTTTTTTCATGCTGCACAGCACACTATTACTTCTTCTTCTTTTTTTTTTTTTTTTTGAGATGGAGTCTCGCTCTGTTGCCCAGGCTGGAGTGCAGTGGCATGATCTCGGCTCATTGCAACCTCTGCCTCCCATGTTCAAGCATTCTTCTGCCTCACCCTCCCGAGTACCTGGAACTACAGGCGCGTGTCACCACGCCTGGCTAAGTTTTGTATTTTTAGTAGAGATGGAGTTTCACCATATTGGACAGGCTGGTCTCAAACTCCTAACCTTGTGATCTGCCCGCCTCAGCCTCCCAAAGCACTGTGATTATAGGCATGAGCCACCACACCTGGCCTGTATTCCATTTTTATAAACAATTGTGTGTGTGTGTATTACAGTGATAGATTCTTTGCCTCCTTCCAACTCCCTGCAACAACAAATGTCTCTACTGGATATCATATCCTTTCATGAGTTTAAACTTAAGTTTATTTGCCATGTGGATCAAGAGTAGGATTGCTGGTTCATAGGTTTGGATTTCATTTCACTCCACATTGCTCTCTGGATAGTTGCATCAGTCTGTACTCCCATCAGCAGTACATGTGAAGTCTAGTTTTCTAAATTTAAAAAAAAATTTGTTATTATTTGAACATTATCTTCCATCTCACTAATGAGCACTCCTCAAATTTAACCCTTCTGCTGTTTATACCATATATTTAATCCTTCATTTCAACAGATATGGTTTTCATACTGAAAAAATATTTTATGATTGCTAATTTCTTCTTCAGGTTCAAATATTGTGCCTTATGTCTTTGAGAACATTTACTATACATATTTTTGGATTTATTTTAACTTTTTTTCTTCTTCAGAGACAGTGTCTTTCAGTTACTCAGGCTGGAGCAAGTGCAGTGGTGACAGCCTCCTAGCTAACTGCAGCCTTGACCTCCTGGGCTCAAGAGATTCTCCTGCCTCAGCCTCCTTGGTAACTGGGACTACAAGTGCATGCCGCCACACCTAGGTATTTTTTTTAATTATTATTTATTTTGTAGAGACAGGGGCTCTCTTGGTTGCCCGAGCTGATCTCAAACTCCTAGCTTCAAGCAATGCTCCTGTCTTGGACTCCCAAAGTGCTGGGATTACAGACGTAAACCACCACATATGGTCACATATTTTAAACTATTGTTAATTTTTGTAAATCTGGTTGTCTTTGATATACATGTATTTTATTTTAGAGTCATTGAATTCCTTTGAGGCCTATTTTTTCCTAGTAAGATTTATTATGCTGATTAAGAATACATGGCACTAAAATCAGGCTCAAGATTGACCCACCAGAAGTGTTTAGAATGAAGGACTCCTTAGGAAATAACTGGATTCTGCCACCCTTTGTTTGCCTTCCTCCTCCATAAAAGTTGGTGTATTCACGTGTCCTGGGTGGTGCTGTTTACCAAGACTGGTCTCCCTCAGTTTTAATCACCATCCTAACACTCATTGTATGGAGTAGCTGGGTTAGAGGAGAATGCCTAGGGTTCAGATGGTCTTTCTGCATTTGTCACTATTTCCTCATTTTCCAAGCTAGGTTGAGTCATATTCTGCCTGGCCGACTCCAAAATGGCTTTAAAGGAGTTAGCAGTGGTCTCTTTTCAACTCTAGTTTTGCTAGAATGGGAGCTCCATTTGGTCAAATTTTGTCTTTCTGGCTCTGTAGTGTATTCTCAGTATTTAGAAGAGTGCCTTGCACACTGTGGGTACTCTAACTATTGAAAGAGCAGAAAAAAATACAGGAATGCAATGAAAAGGAATGATGACCACTAAAAACTTCCGCCCCAGCACATTCTGGTTTCCTTACATCTCAGTTTTCTGCTCTTTGCTGTCATTTTTTTCTCTACTCGCAGACTTTACTGTAGTTTGTAACTGCAAAGGTTTCTCACATCTTTTAGTATTAGATGCTGATTTCTGTGTCATTTCCAGGGTTGTGGTCACAGAAAGAAGCCCACATCATGTTAGTTCTCCATCTTACCAGATAAAGCTTAGCTTAATGTACTTCTATGCCAATTTCTTTGAATAACTAAACTTTCAATAATTTAATCAATCACTGATTAATCCAAGATTTGTCTCAGATGGGGCACAACTTCCACAACCTAATGTAGCTTCCACAACCTAATTTTTAATCCCCAAAAATGAAATTTACCGATTATTTTGTTAAATCATACAAATATAAAAATTCTGAACAGTGAAATAAAGAAAGTATCTCAAAAGTAAGAGTACTCTTGGACAACAATAGCTAAAAAAGTGTAACAAATATGAAAATATGCAGGCTCTGTTTCTGACCTTTAATCATTCTATACTTCTGGGGAGCAGTTATTTTGAGACTCAGTTTTTACAGAAGTAAAATGGGAACAAAAACAGTTCCTCTGCCTGGCTCATAGGATTTCTGTGAGAATAAAAGACAATTAATCTTTCTAAAGATATATTACATATATTGTAAAGTACCACAATTATAAATACAGGAGAATACTTGCTTCTCTTCGTATCCATTTTTCTGTTTCCAATGCTTGTTTGGTTTTTAAAATTTAATAGTATTTTCCTGCTACTCAATGTTTGACTACTGAAATTTTTATATAAATGTTTTCTGCAAAAAAATTTTATGGACATAGAATAATAATTGTATGTGCTCAGTTGCTTGATTAAAATACTTTATTGTGATTATTTTGTAAAGAAAAGAATTGCACTATAATTTCGATGTTGTGCAAATTATAATAATTAAATATTTAGGCTAAAAAAGATAATGCAAGAAGGCTAAGTTGTATTGTCATATTGTTAAAATTACTTTTTATTTAATGTTCCTAATCAGAAGTGAACCATTATCTATGTAAAAATAATTTAATTCAGAAAATTTTGGTCTCAAATTTACATAATGCCATCATTATCCTTTTTATGTTCTGGAAAATTTATTCTAAATTACCTAGAAAAAAAGGTTGATTCTATAGTGTTATTTTTTATTCTCTATATCTCAGGTAAGAATAAAGGGAAACGAGTAAGTAAAGGAAAAACAAAGATGAAAAAGGAAATTGTACTCAAGTCACATAGACACTGAAGTCTCAGATGTATGTGGAACTTTCTGTTTGGTAGAGGATATAGAAAAGAGAAAGGGATATCGAATTTCTGACAACCTACGTGCTTAGTGCTTTGTCTACCAATGTGATGAGGACATATTTATTTTTTCCTTGTGCTTTCTGCATTGAGACAAGTACATTATAAGCTTATCATACAAATGATTCAAAAAAAATACTCGCCATTTATTTTCTATTAGTTCTTTTTCTCCCGAGGTTACTGCCCTACAAGGAGCTATTTTAACCTCCTCCTGTCTTTGCCAGTGAGAACATCTTGACATGACTCCAATTCCAATTCTGATGTACTGGAAGAATAAAAACACATTTATTTAAAAAATCTAAAGCATATTAATGATGCCATAGAAAGACATCTTGCTTAAGATAAACCCATTAATTTTACCTTTGTAAACATGTTTCAGCATGACTGTGTGATTAAGGCTTCATTCTGTGCAGACTACAACTGTAGTAACGGCAGCAGCCAAGAAAAAATAGCAAAATATTTTTAAAAACAGAAGCAAACAGCAAGGCTTTCACAATCCATTGTTTAAATTCATCTTTTATATCTTGTTTTATTACGTTTTTCTCTCTTACTTTATGTGTATAATGAAATACCATTATCACTGTCATCATCCCCAGATTAAAGCTTCGAGAAAGAAAGAAAGCCTATCCTAGAATTGATTTTTAGGCCATTTTACTTGAGATGATCGACAATAAGAGGATTTTCATTTGCTTTGTCAGTGTAAGCTGGCTGCTGTGCATCTGCAGTGAAGGCAGCACAGGTCTCTGTTTGCATTCTGCGGTTTGTTAGCAGCAATGACCTGTCACAGAAAGGCTCTACAGCACAATATTTACACAGATCATTAGCAGAGCAGGCCCGGTTTGCCAGATCGCTAATCAGTTTTGTGACTGCCCCAGTTTCATCAAGACTATAAATAAAATAAGCCATCGGAAAAAGCTCCAAAATGGGCATTGTCAGAGCTGGTGACACTTCTGGCAGCTCTAGGCATATAAATCCTCTGATAACAATGCAGTGGTAGTGACAAATAAAAGACTGCATTTAAACTATGAGTCTGAAAATGAGTGTGTGTGTTACTTCAAGAGGACCTTCTTTTCTTTATACTCTGTCGATTTCAGCTTACTCTAGCCCTATGGTGTAAACAAGCTAGCAATAGTCAAGTAGGATTTGCTTTTTTCTCCTTTCACTCACGATTGAAATTTGTTTACTGCAGTTTGCGATGTAGAGTCCATGACATGTGAACCCATGGTGAAAAGCCACAAAAGAAGGGGAATTCGTAAGTGAGAGGGCACGCTGGACTTACTGGCCTGTCTGACCTCCGTTGAAAATATTACTCACAGAATCAGTAGCATTCAAAATGCTGACAGAAAGATTGTAAGAGGTCAGCAAAGGGTGAACCTGTATAAGAGCCTAGGGACCAACCTTTAAGAGTTATGATAAACTATTAGCTGTATGGTGGCCACAATTGAAATGCAACTATTTATTTATTTCTCTTTTTTCATTTTTTGATATGTGCCCAAATCAATAGTGATTGCTTTCTCCTTTGTTGTAGAAAAAAAGTATATAAAAGACTCAGAAGAGTCAAGCCCTGGGATGTTTTAATAAGAAGTTGACATTGAATAAAAACATTATTTGCAAAGAGAGTTTATTAAAGTCTTTCAGCTTTGCTCCCTCTGTCTCCTTTGTCACTTGACTCTTACTGAGAACCACAAGGCCATCTAGTAAAGATTACATGGTAATCATTAGTAGACAGATGCAATTTTGTCTGCCATGTAATCTTTACTTTCTGTTCCAGGAAAATATGAGTATTTTTAAAGTTAGTGGAAATTTACAGATTTTCTATATACAGGGCATTGGCAGGCCAGAGAAACGCTAATTAATTCATGTCATAAATGTTTATTGTGCAGCTACTATGTGTACTGGATAGAAAGTAGTATCTGACAGACATGTTCCTTGCCCTCTGAAACTCAGTTTAGAAAAGAGAATACAGGTTCAAATATAATGAACATTTGTTTTATTTTATATTACATAATATCTTTTGTTGTTGTTGTTTCTATCTTCATTTTCACCAGGGGAAGGGAATCTGTGTCTATTGGAACTCTTTTCCTATATTCGTTTTAGGATTGCCATACCTCTGGTTTCCCAGGTATAGTTCATCAAAACTAGGAAGAGATCTAGTCTTTATGGGAACTGCAACTTATAAAATGTGGAGTTCCTCTTTAGGAAAAAGGATATGCAGCCCTAGAAAATGAAAGGATCCAAATTTTTGAAGAAAATGAACTTAGTATGGTATATTCTTACTTTTTTTCTGAGTGAAAGATATCTTATGTATCATACCAATTCCCAATAAGTTTCATCCTTTTGTCTGCGTTATTTTCAGTTTTCAGTAAAATAAATGTGTGTATACCACAACCTCTAAGTACTTCCTTTAGACCTTATGGTTTGAATTTGGTATGAAAGAGGAAGCTTCTAAAAGTGTTTTCTATGTGCATGATGATTTATAGGCAAATATACCGGCACATATAGTTACCTTAAAACTTAGATATTTAAGTATATGTTGGATGAATGAAAAAATTGAAGAACAGAAAAATGTAAAAACAAAAGAAGGTAAGTCAAACATTTTGAGAGAGTTCTTGGATGAAAAGTAGAAATTTAAAATGTAAGGTTATAAAAAATAGCAATGTCCAGTAAATGCATGCACATAAACATGAAATAACTTAAATGTCATTATGCTAATTTTACTTGCATAAACTTTCAGGACATGAATACAGATAAGGACATAATTACAGTAGTTAGAATGATTAAAAAATAGTATGCCCCATACTATGAATTTCACACACAGTTTGATTACTGGGAGACATTTAGAGCAGCAGACTAAATGTATAGGTGCTATACTGTAAATTGTAAGTTGGATGGGAGGCCATCAACTTTGGTATTGGCTATAGCACTTCAATTAAAGAAAAGTGGCTGGGCCTGGTGGCTCATGCGTATAATCCCAGCACTTTGGGAGGCTGAGGCTGAAGGATTGCTTGAGCCCAGCAATTCAAGACCACCTTAGGCAACAAAGTGAGACCCTGTCTACCAAAAATTCAAAAAATTAGCCAGACATAGTGGCACGTGTCTGTGGTCCCAGCTAAATGGGAGGCGGCCTTGAGAGGATTACTTGAGACCAGAAGGTCAAGGCTGAAATTAGCTGTGATCATGCTACTGCACTATAGCCTGGGTGACAGAGTGAGATCCTATCATAAATAAATAAATAAATTAAATAAAAAATAAAGAAAAGTGTCATTTACATCTTTTTACGTTTTTTTAAATCCTGTTTGAGGTATTTTCTTATCACTATACAAAGTCACTAAACATATGCATTCTATAATAGGGTAATCAAGTAAAAAAAAGAGAAATTTATTTTTTCATAATATTTTTGTTAAAATTCATTGAAGGATATCTTACAGAAAATGTGACATTCTTACATTCTGATTATCAGGGCACAATTTGATAAAATTTTATCAAGTGAACAATAATCTGGAAATCAGAATGCAGATTAAGAAAGAGAACACTAAAACCTCATAACCCTACCTTCCCTGCACTATTTACTCTAAACTCCATTCCATCCATTAAAGATAGTGATGACTGAATTTTTTTTTTTTTTTTTTTTGGCTATTCTTCTGACTCTAGTTTCTGAGATTTTTTTTTTTTATTATACTTTAAGTGTTAGGGTACATGTGCACAATATGCAGGTTAGTTACATATGTATACATGTACCATGCTGGTGTGCTGCACCCATTAACTTGTCATTTAGCATTAGGTATATCTCCTAATGCTATCCCTCCCCACTCCCCCCACCCCACAACAGTCCCCAGAGTGTGATGTTCTCCTTCCTGTGTCCATGTGTTCTCATTGTTCAGTTCCCACCTATGAGTGAGAATATGCGGTGTTTGGTTTTTTGTTCTTGCAATAGTTTACTGAGAATGATGATTTCCAATTTCATCCATGTCCCTACAAAGGACATGAACTCATCATTTTTTATGGCTGCATAGTATTCCATGGTGTCTATGTGCCAAATTTTCTTAATCCAGTCTATCATTGTTGGACATTTGGGTTGGTTCCAAGTCTTTGCTATTGTGAATAGTGCTGCAATAAACATACATGTGCATGTGTCTGTATAGCAGCATGATTTATAATCCTTTGGGTATATACCCAGTAATGGGATGGCTGGGTCAAGTGGTATTTCTAGTTCTAGATCCTTGAGGAATCGCCACACTGACTTCCACAATGGTTGAACTAGTTTACAGGTGATGACCGAATTTTAACATAGACTCAGTTTGCCTGGTTGTACATTAACGTGTGTGTGTGTGTGTAACTCCTATTTTTATATACTATGTTTTTTTGAGATGGAGTTTTGCTCTTGTTGCCCAAGCTGGAGTGCAGTGGCACAATCTTGGCTCACTGCAACCTCCGCCACCTGGGTTCAAGCGATTCTCCTGCCTCAGCTTCCCGAGTAGCTGGAATTACAGGTGCTCACCATCAATTCAGGCTAATTTTTTGTATTTTTAGTAGAAACAGGGTTTCACCATGTTAGCCAGGCTGGTCTCGAACTCCTGACCTCAGGTGATCCACCTGCCTCAGCCTCCCGAAGTGGTGGGATTACAGGTGTGAGTCACCACACCCAGCCATTTTGACATAATTTTAAACTTAGAAAGAAGTTGCAAGAATAGTAGAAGAAAGTCCTATATACCCTTTTATCCAGATTTTTTTCTAAATTACATTTGAATATATTGGTAGTGTGCTCTCTCTCTCTCTCTCCTTTCTATACTATTTGCAAATTGGAGCCATCTTATTATTTTAATCCTAAGTACTTTATTGTATATGTCCTAAAAACCAGAACATTCTCTTAGGTAATCACATTTTATTATATAATTCCTACATAGTTTAAAAAATCAGGAAAATTTAGACTATATTTTAGTGTTTTTTAAAAATATATACTAAGTATGAATTATTTCTTAATGGGTTAAACATAGACTTGGAACTAAAAAACTCTAACTAGGGCCACTCTTTCTTTATAGAAGTTATTGACATTTTCTCAAGGAGAACAGATGAAATCCTAGGGGGCATGACTTGCAAATTCATCATTTAATATGAGAACTGCTACTGGTAGAGCAACAGCTATTTGGTCCTATATTTCAGTGAGGCTCTAAATGGCAACAATTTTAGAATTAATGGCAAATGTAGTCCCTGATTCTTTTTGTTTGTTTTTGTTAATAGACTCACTTCAGCGTCCATCAAATATTCCATTAAAGGTCGTCTTCTTGGTTTCTTGATGTAGTTGCTGTTGGTGATATTTCTTAATATATTAAGATGGAACAACTTACCATTCCATTTTGAGTCATATTTTAATTCATTAAGCTAAAATGTTTGAGTAAATACAGGGTTTAGCATAGTATTTTGCACAGAATACTTTAAGAAATACAGATGTTTAAAAAGCAATCTTGCTCTTAAGGACCTTCAATGCTAATAGAAAGACCACTCCTATAAGAAGAATATGTGATGTAATCCCAAGTGCACTAAGGATTTTGATGAGGGAAAAATTATTTCTCCTTGGGTTTATCAGAGAAGATCTTGAAAGAGCTGGCATCTGAGATGTGCTGTGAAGTTATGTAGGTTTCTACAGGTGATAATAGAAAAAGAGTGTATCGAAATGGGTATGTGTGTGATGCCACAAAGAAATTTTAGTAGAATTTAAGGTACTGAATAGTTTGATGAGAAGGTGGTTTAGCATGAGCAAGAAAAATGAAATATTACCGGAACAATTTTGAAAGGCTGTAAATTACTGGCTAAAGAGTTGGATATTTCTCAGAAAATGTAGGGAACCGTGAACATTATTTTTTGAACAGGTGATGCATTTACATGATACAGAATTGGAAAATTCCACATTCTATCCTTTTCTATTGTCTGCCCAGTTCTTACCTCTTAACAACAGCTTCTTGGTGTCTTAAGTATTTTATGTATATATAAGAAATAACAAAATACATTATTGATTTCCTTTATTTGGACAGCATAACACGTATCCTTTTGGCACATTGCTTTATTCGTTAGCAATTTATCTTGAAAAACTTTCCACGTTAATACATATAGAAAATTTTCAGTATTTTTACTATTGCAGAACATCAAAGGGATGTGTCATCATTAAGTCGTACTATATTAAAAACTTTGTTGTTTTCAGAATCTTGTTCTTATATATTTTTCTGCAATGAATATAGTCATATATGTCGTTTTATATGTAAGTAGTTATTTAGGATAATCTGCCTAGAGTATAATTGATTGGACATGCACACATGCATTTTTTATTTGATAAATATGTACTAATTTATACTCCAATCATGTGGATGCATGAATGGTAGTACCTACTTCTCTATATGTTTGCTGAAGTTTGTGTTATTAAATATGCTATTCTAATAAGTGAAAGAATATTGATAGAGTTTTATTTGTAGTTTTATTATGGTTGAACTTGAATACACTTTTGTATACTTAAAAGTCATTTGCATTTACTTAATTTTTTATTTTTATTTTATTTATTTATTTTTTTGAGATGGAGTCTCACTCTGTTGCCCAGGCTGGAGTGCAGTGGCACAATCTTGGCTCACTTCAAGCTCCACCTTCTGGGTTCACGCCATTCTGGGCTCACTGCAAGCTCCACCTCCCGGGTTCATGCCATTCTCCTGCCTCAGCCTCCCGAGTAGCTGGGACTACAGGCACCCGCCACAAAACCCGGTTAATTTTTTTTTAGTAGAGACGGGGTTTCACCGCTTTAGCCAGGATGGTCTCGATCTCCTGACCTCGTGATCCAACCGCCTCAGCCTCCCAAAGTGCTGGGATTACAGGTGTGAGCCACCGCGACGGCCTGCATTTACTTTCTATCAATTGTTTATATACTTGCCTATATTTCTTTTGAGTTTGAGTCTTTTGCTCATAAATTTCTAGAAACACATCATATAGTAAAGAAATTATACTATATGAAGAGTAAATATTATTCTTTAATTGATTACTTGTAGTTTCAATTTGTTTACAATATTTCACTTGATCTTAGCCAAAAGACTGAGAAGTGAATGTTTACAATATTTTTTCATGAAGTTATTGTTACTGTATTCACATATACCCATTTTTTAATCTTTTAGCTTCTAGACTTTTAGTTATAATTACTTATACCTTAACCACTTAAAGGTTATAAAGGAAATGTCCTATGTTTACTTCTAGAGCCTTTGTGGTTTTATTTTCTACATTTAATGCTTTAATCTCTTTAAAAATAATCTTACACGCAGTAGGGGCATATGAATCTACCCATGTTATTTTTCCACAAAGTGGTAACTCATATTTCTTTACTGGTTTGAGCATTAATATGCACTTTTTGGGATATTCTATTCTTTTTTATTCACCAATCTAGACTCTATTAAAATTCTCACAGTCCTGCTTTAAAAAAAAAAACTTATTTTTTCTTTTATGCTGTCCTCTATCAGTCACATTTATTTACATCTTTGGCCCTTCCGGTTTTAATTTGAAAACAGCCTGTACTTTCTCATCCCTAGTAGGCAGAAAAGAATAGCTGTTCACCATTTCAAGCCTCTTTGTTTGAAAAATGCATTCAGTGCCAGTGAGATTTACATACATTTTTAGTAATAAAAAAGTAAAAGTTTTTTCCTTAACGGCACAAATCAACCTGAGTTACTGTAAACTACTTTATGAAATACTTTTATAAAGTATTAGTACTTGCTTACAGCTTATACCCTGCAAATAAAGCCCACCTAAACAATGAAGAGATTGTATATTATATATTTGAAGTAGATAGGTAGAAAAGTTTTCAGCTCTGCTTGATTTATGGTTCAGAGATCTCAGCAAGGAAGCACATTCTTTCTGCCTCTCCACCCTGCAGTTCACCTATTAGCTTCATCCTACTTCTGCTTCCCCTTGTAGTATGCAATGGCTGGTAAGAGCAATGAGCAGTACAGGATTTCTCATTCAAATCCAGTGAATACAAGGGAAAGAGTTTTCCCCTTTTATGAATAGAAGTCTTTCCTTCTTTATATTATAATAGAAACTATTTGCACTGTCTGCTTATTCCCAGATAACAATTTACAAACACAGGTACTGACTGATGTATGTCTGATTTTTTGAAACAACCAGGAGCAATGGGAAAATAATTACCCACATTGTCTAAGAGTAACTGAGGCCCAACTCTGGAACTGGGGAGTTCTGTTTATTTTACTCAGATATCCCTTCTATGGATAAAGCTGATCTTTCCCTAAACACAGGGACGATTTACAGATAGAATGGATATCTGAATAAAATATGGATTCTGTTAAAAAAAAGAAAGATAAGGAAAATGTAAGAGGGTTAGGCAGCCAACTGTGTGCACTAGAAATTGTTTTCTTGAGAATTCCATCAGGGGCATTCTCTGCATTCTCTACTTTATATTTGTGGTTAATCCACTATTCTGTCTCTCAAAGAATGTATCTATGTGTGAACTGGTTTTGTTACTCTAATTTCTGTGTGTCCAGAATGGCAGCTAATTACTTGGTAACTTTCTCTAACCTAAGATTTTGAATAGCTCATAAGACATATTTCTTTTAATTGTGGAAATGAGAAGCTAATGACTTGATTATGATGTAAAAGTGAGTTACCGTGTTCACCCGCATTTTATGTTATAGTCTATATTATGACACATATATCTTAAGATATATTTGCTCAATCCAAAGCTATGAATAAAACGGTAAATACTTTTACTACAGGAGAAATACTTAAAGTAATATATTTTTTTGGACGAAAAGTTACTTCATTAGCTCCAAAGTGAATTTTATATTTTTAGTACACTTAAATTCAGGTTTGCATATAAATTGAGTCTGTGATATCATCTCAGAATTCACTAGGAGTAAGAGTTCTTCTTTAACACAGCCTTTGTGAAGCTTTGTCTCTTACTCTTCCTCATTACTTCCCACTTGTTCTTTTGAAGCTGCTCTATTCTACAGACTTTTGAGGCATTTAGGGGCTGAATGATTGAATTCATTTGCTCTCGTGAGATAAAATTCAAGAGTTTTTTGTTTTTTTTTTGTTTTTGGAAAACATAAATCCTTCTTCGTTGAGAAAAAAAGGATGGGAAGCAGATCTGCTATCTAGGCTCTTCCTTTATATAGAGGACAAGGAAATAAAAGTCATATCCCTGTTGTTATGAAATAAATCAAGTTCCCCTATAACCTATATGTTGAGTCTCTAACCCGCAAAGTGACTGCATTTGGAGATACGGCCTTTAAAGAGGTAATTAAGGTTAATTAAGGTCATATGAATGGGACCCTAGTCCAATAGGACTGGTGTCCTTTTAAGAAGAGGAAAAGACACCAGTGAAGTGCTTGCATCAAGAAAAGGCAATGTGAGAACACAGTAAGGAGGCGGCCATGTGCAAGCAAAGGAGAGAGGCCGCAGGAGGAACCAAACCTGTTGACACCTTGATCTTAGACTTCTAGCCTCCAGAACTGTGAGAAAATAAATTCCCACTCTTAAGCCACCTGGTTGATGATACTTTGTTATAATAGCCCTAGCAGACTAATACATTTGTAAACATGCTAAAAGCAGACTTTTTGCAAACAAGCTAGTTACGTTAGCTAGTGGGAGGGTTTTTATCTGCAAGGTGTTTTTAGCAGCATGTACTTGGTTGTTTAGCATCTCCTGTGTTAAAAAAAAAAAAAAAGCAACCCTAGAATCTATGGATATATGGGGCATCGCTTCCTGGAAAATATTATGCATCCTTTGTGCCTATTTGATTATAAAATGGAAGTGTTTATTACTGATACTTTTTATCTTTTGTGTAAGTAATGTGCCAGAACTTATTTATCGTAGTAGGAAGAGATCCAGTGAATACTCAACCTCTCACCTTAGTTCTCCCTGAGCCTCTAGACACTAGACTTTTATATCCTAAAAATGATTAAACATTTCTATTTCATATGAGTCTAATTTGACAGTTGAATTATTTGTACCATCTCACCGATGATAAAATTAGCAGTTATATTGTGTAGAATATACAGATAGGTAGGTTATAATTTTTCTATGTTAAGTTTATATAGAGAAGAACAAATGCCACTGGTAACTGGTGATGAAGCATAGAACAATGACTTTTCTACATATCTAATTCAATAAAAGAGTTTACATGTGGAAATTCAACAAAGTAACTATACTCTGGCAATGCACATCAACTTAACTGGTGGGAATATTTCCTGAGGTGGAAATACTTCAGTTTTATGGTATAATCTACCAAGGATGAGTATAGTATAATCCACCAACTAAGATAAATTGTCTCCAGTTTTATTAATCAAATGAATATTATATTGGAAGTGAGCATTTAATATTTATATAGTTGTCTACTTCAAGAGTTTCTGATTATATACATCAGAAAAATAAAATTTTTGATAATAAAATATATTCAAAGGACCCTCCCAAACATCCCACAGTAACACAGCACATGATCTAACAACCCTAATAGTCACAACAGTCCACATAATGTCTCATTGTATATGCTTCCGGTTTTAATTTGAAAACAGCCTGTACTTTCTCATCCCTAGTAGGCAGAAAAGAATAGCTGTTCACCATTTCAAGCCTCTTTATTTGTTTGAAAAATGAATTC